>NT_187529.1:0-223625 GCF_000001405.40 Homo sapiens
GATCCTATGAAGTTCTAATTTTCCCAAAACCTAGAGGAAACATGTGCTTTGACACTTTGGCGTAAAATGCGGAGATTCTATTTAGCTCCTGGATTTAATATAAAGAAAAAGATGTGGCCAAGAATCTTGAGGCTAGCGTGTGGGCGGGAAATAAACCCGTCAATGGTCAGATGGGATAGAAATGTTCTTGAAACTTCTTCCCTGTTTTCTGCAGCCCCTTTGTCTCTCCTGACACTTAGAGAAAAATATGTTCATTGTTTAAAAATAAAAGCTTTTAATGGAAATTTGACGTATGGCTTGCCAAAAAAAAAATTACTGTTCCCTGGTGGAATTTTCCTGGGAAGATAAATATTTATTATAATGAAGTATCTATAATTAAAGACTATCTTTTATAGAAGACATCCATTACGTCTTTCTTTGCTGCAGCCTTTTTTATTTATGGGAGTAAGAGTTTGTAGAGTACATTTCATCTTTAACGTACCATAGCAAACATTAAGTGATTTTTGCAGTAGTATTAAAAGGCGATATTTTTAATTTTTAATTTTACATTTTTCAAATTGGTTCATGAAAAACTAAGGTTTAGTGTTTCACATATAGCCATAGATGGGGTGGTGTCAGTCAGGCTTAAAGTTTTTCATTTTATCTGCACTTTCGACTATGTCTTATATAATATAGGAAGAACTGGAACTTTTAGTGATTTTTTCTGAAGTTCTCCAAGCAGAAAAAGGAACAATGCTCATAGGATGTTTTAAGGCTGTGTACAGGAAAACACAAGGGAAGACCAGAGGGGTCGACTGCAGGTGACATGGGACTGAGGACCGTGGATGCTGATGCATCCCCAAGACATGTGGGGCAGCTACTGGAGGCTGGACTGTGGGGCGGGAGAGTTGAGTGGGCTGGAGGAGGTCAGTTTGCAAAGATTGAAGAATGAGAAAGTAGAGACTGACAAATCATCACATGCTAAACGTCGATTTAAACATTAAGTGAATGTCTGTTGATTTAACGAGGCTGTTTAATGTAGTAACAGATGCTAATTAAATAAATGAGCTCTTGTTTAGAAATCGCTAATTAATTTTATTCCTTTACAGAATGTGCTCTGGAGATTTAAATTTTCCCAGCTTAAGGGATCTTCAGATGATGGGAAAACTCGAGTAAAGCTGCTGTTTCAGAATCTGGACACCAAACAGATTGAGATGAAGGTATGCGGCATGGGGCATGGGTTATTCTGCCACCACCCACACATAAAGTACAGCTCAGAGGGTCCGCTGGTAAAAATCTCCACCCCTCCCATGCACACAAAAATAAACCAATAGGTCCTGAAGCACGAGTCCTTCCTGAAAATTAGGCAATAGATAACCCGAAAGAGCCTGTCGAGGTCAAATATCCCTTATCTGAAATGCTTGAGACCAGAAGTGTTTGGGACCCTTATCTGAAATGCTTGAGACCAGAAGTGTTTGGGATTTCAGATTTTGGAATATTTGTGGATTAGGTACTGATTAAGCATCTGAAATCCAAAAATCCAAAAAGCAAAATGTTCCAATGAACATTTCCTTTGAGCATCAGGCCAGCATTGGAGAAGGTTGGGATTCTGGAGCATATAGCATGAGGCCAGCATTGGAGAAGGTTGGGATTCTGGAGCATGTAGCATGAGGCCAGCATTGGAGAAGGTTGGGATTCTGGAGCATGTAGCATGAGGCCAGCATTGGAGAAGGTTGGGATTCTGGAGCATTTAGCCTCAGGCCAGCATTGGAGAAGGTTGGGATTCTGGAGCATTTAGCCTCAGGCCAGCATTGGAGAAGGTTGGGATTCTGGAACATTTAGCATCAGGTCAGCATTGGAGAAGGTTGGGATTCTGGAGCATTTAGCATCAGGTCAGCATTGGAGAAGGTTGGGATTCTGGAACATTTAGCATCAGGTCAGCATTGGAGAAGGTTGGGATTCTGGAGCATGTAGCATGAGGCCAGCATTGGAGAAGGTTGGGATTCTGGAGCATTTAGCCTCAGGCCAGCATTGGAGAAGGTTGGGATTCTGGAGCATTGAGCATCAGGCCAGCATTGGAGAAGGTTGGGATTCTGGAGCATTTAGCATCAGGCCAGCATTGGAGATGGTTGGGATTCTGGAGCATTGAGCATCAGGTCAGCATTGGAGAAGGTTGGGATTCTGGAGCATTGAGCATCAGGCCAGCATTGGAGAAGGTTGGGATTCTGGAGCATTGAGCATCAGGCCAGCATTGGAGAAAGTTGGGATTCTGGAGCATTGAGCATCAGGTCAGCATTGGAGAAGGTTGGGATTCTGGAGCATTGAGCATCAGGCCAGCATTGGAGAAGGTTGGGATTCTGGGGCATTTAGCATGAGGTCAGCATTGGAGAAGGTTGGGATTCTGGAGCATTTCAGGGTTTCGATTTTCAGATTTGGGATGCTCAAGCTGTATAGGATGTTTCGTGTTAGAGAGACGTTTATATCCTAAAATGGTGACCACTGAAACAAAATATTTGATTTTACTAAAATGTACAAGCTTCTTAGTAAATATTAGCAGGAAATCATTATTTTAAAATATACCAGAAGTCAAAATTTAAAGGAAGGGTTTTACAAACTGTATTTTGTTTGCACACTGTATGTGATAAATTGACTATAATATGGAGAACAAACTTCTTTGTTAATTAAAGACCTTAGACCTTTTAAATTCATTGCCTGGAGGTGACATTGTACTATTGACAGGTGTTGACTTTTACCATATTTTATGTATAAATGTGTTGCCCACAAGCCAGTTTAATATAAACTTAATAAGACTAAAGATTAAATTTACTAAACTGAAAAATAAATTTTAAAAAATAGACTCATGAACACATACGGTGTGGAAACAGATTGTCAATACTTTGCACACATTTTTTTCTCTGATGGAATTAATCTGAGCAACATGTCACACATGGCATTTTTATACGTGAAAGTTTAGGTCAACTTTGATCCTCTCTTCATTGATCTCAATGAAATGACATTTTATAGTTGCTTTTAAGTACAGCGGAAATTGTATGGGATTGTTTGACATTTTTATGTTTTGGAAATTGACAAAAGCAAAACCTGAATGCAGATGGTACAGACACTGTGGCTCCTGGGCTGGGGGAGAGCGATGAGGCAGCGGCACTCGTGCTGACCGCAGTGCCTGAGCAGGCAAGGCGCTGACCTCTCAGCAGGCTGCCCTGAGCCGCATCCTGGGGTCGTCAGCCACCAGCAAGGTGGGAACGCGGAGAGAGAGGCTTGACATCAGTTTCCATCTGGTATTTCACTGGCTTGGATGTCAATGGATCAGGGATGAAAATAGAATGTTCTTCCTCTGGTTTGTTTATTTATGCAGCTGTTTGCCTTGGGCGCCATCACCGGGGAGGAGCACCGTAACCTTTGCTGCCTTAATCTTGTGGAGCTCTGAGTCTCATACTGTGAGGGTGCCGGAGGTCTACGGTGGCCATGAGGGTTTCACGCCTGCGGTGTCCCCGTGGCTTTCTGAGCCTCTGTCATCCCCGGGGCTCAGGCTTCAGGACCTCCAGCAGCTCCCATGGCATCTGAAACACCCTTTTGACAGTGTCTGTTGAGGTTAAATGTATTTGTGTTTTATTTGTTAATGATCAGTCAGCTCTTGATTATCTGTTAATGAAAGGAGCATCAGTATCAGGTCACCTAAGACAGAAAGGCCTGAAATATGTTAGATTCACGTGGGACACAGGCTTTGAGACCAGTATCAGGTCACCTAAGACAGAGAGGCTTGAAATATGTTAGATTCAGGTGGGACACAGGCTTTGAGACCGGCATCGCTGCCTTGTGATGCTTTGTTTGGATTGCATCTATTTCCATCGTGGGTTGGTGGAAAAGAGAACGCCCCAGGGAGTTACAGAGGCCACAGGGATGGATACCAGATTCGTAGGACTTGTAGTTTAAACAATTTGTGGAAATTTTTTATGAAAAAAAAATGTAAAACTGCAAATACAGCAACCTAGCTACACTTAGAAATGAGTGTAGGGCACATAAATATGTCCCAACAAACCCAAACTAAAAAAACCTCCACCTCCATTTCCCGTGCTGGATCTCAGAGCCGCCCAAGGCCCCTCCGTGGCACCCCTGGGATGAGAGGGAGGAACTTGGGTAGACAGAGGTAGGGACCTCACAAGAGCAGTGACCCGAGGGCCCTGGGCACGTCGCTTGGGCCCCTCAGCTCCCTGGGCTCTGTGCAGGCAAGGGCCTCACAGCTTACACAGGAAGAAGAGGGGACACAGATGAGGATGACAGCATTTCCCACCTTATCCCACAGAGTAGGAAACACATATGTGGATAACTGCAAACACTTAGTGCATGGGTGATGGGTGACCGTGGGCATTTTCAGAAGTCACCTTCACACACTGAGGTTGTGCATTTATCAACGTATGAGATATACAGAAAGTTAGAACATGGCAGCTGGGAAATGAAAACTCTAGAAGCTAATGCAAGACTTAAGGAGTCCACGGGAATGAATTCTGAGTTGAAACTCATAGCTATTGCAAATCTTGGATGTTAGCAATATGTTGTCTTAAGAAATAGGAACATTTTATTATCTCAATACATCAATTAACCAGGAGTGCCAGAGAAAACAATATTCCTAGTAAGTTGATTTTCTAGTGAAATGAGTGGTAACCATGAAACAAGTTTCCTTTTAGTAGTTGTTGAAAATATTTCTGGAATATTCTACCAGGACGCTACCTTAGTAATTAGTGCATGATGGGAACACTTGAGTTTCTCCTGAAATCTAGGGAGGAGTTCTGGGGCTTGGGGAGCAGAGTGAAATATTCCTACCATCCATTATTTGCAAAAATCACGTAGAATTGGCCGGGCATGGTGGCTCATGCCTGTAATCTCAGCACTTTGGGAGGCTGAGGCGGGTGAATCATGAGGTCATGAGATCGAGACCATCCTGGCTGACACAGTGAAACCATCTTTACTAAAAATACAAAAAATTAGCCGGGCCTGGTTGCGGGCACCTGTAGTCCCAGCTACTCAGGAGGCTGAGGCAGGAGAATGGTGTGAACCCGGGAGGCAGAGCTTACAGTGAGCCGAGATCATCGCGCCACTGTACTCCAGCCTGAGTGACAGAGCGAGACTCCTTCTCAAAAAAAAAAAAAAAAAGAAAGAAAAAAAGAAAAGAAAGAAAAAAATCACGTAGAATTCAAGACTGTAGGATGATTTCACACAGATTCCAATGGCTGGAAATTTTAGGTTGCAGTAGTTTTTAAATAAAATATTTTTCTTCCTCTTTGACTGTTTTTTCCTTTAAAAAAAAAGAGTGGAGAGGAAGCAAATGTTATTGAATGAAGAATTTACTTCCATCCTGTGCTGTTTGTTATTCATGCAAATTATGTCAGATTATAGAGACATAGCTTGGCGCTCACTGCACAGGGGAAGCTGCCCTTCCCCAATTCCCACGAAAGATACCCAGGGAGGCCCCCCCATGTTTCTGTGTATATTGCTTATATTTTGCATATTTCTTTATAATTCCATTTTTGCCTCTAGGCTGAGCCTCCAAAGGGAAACTTTAGTTTAGCTTTTTTATATTCAGCATGAGGGTCAGCACATATGTACACTTAAATGTTTTAAATGAATAAATTAATGAAGAAGGAGCAAATTATTGTTAAAGAAACTGCCAAATATACTCACAGGAGTTTCATCAGTTCTAAGGAGAAAATTGTTCCTATTGTCAGGAAAATGGGATACCTTAATGCTCACTGGAGTTTCATCAGTTCTAAAGAGAAAATTGTTCCTACTATCATTAAAATGAGATACCTTAATGACTCCATGCAGATGCATACAGAAGTTTCTGATATTCCCACATATATATCCATGAAGCAGAGGTTGTGCCTTGAAAGCAGGGCACATTTTACTGAAGAATCATGTCTCTGGGAGAAACACTACCGTGTATTTTTCACTCTATAATGATCTGTGAGAGTAAACCCCACTGAAAATTACGCCTCTGCCATCAATGAGTCAGCCGAGTGTGCCAGCCGCAGATGGAGGAAGATTGGGCGTGGGCACCTGAGTGTTTAGGACCACGGAGGGGGTGGCAGACCAGAAGGAAATTGGGGTGTTTCTGATACTGAGACCTGGCTGCTGAGTTTTCTTGGCAGGAGCACCGATCGATGCCCACAGCATTTATCACTGAAAAGACTGAATCGAGGGTGCTGAGAAAACTATTTCAGGAAGCCAGATGGTGCCAGGAGGGAGGGCCAGTCCCAGCAAAATGTCATCCAACAGAGAATTTCCCATCTCCCTGTGCATGAACCAGGGGCTTCTAAATGTTCTCATGCAGACGGATATCAAAAGGAAGAGCATAAACAATTAATATGATACATGTGAAGCACAACGCCCCCTTCCCTAATACAGATCTGAAATTATTTTTAAAATTCTCATCTCAAGAAAATGAAAACAAAAGCAAAGCCTTCTTTCTCCCTCCCTCCTTCCTTGCCTCCCTCCCTCCTTCCTTCCTTCCTTTCCTTCTTTCTTCCTTCCCTCCTTCCTTCCTTCCTTCTCTCCTTCCTTCCTTCCTTTCTTCTTTCCTTCCCTTCCTTCTCTTCTCTTTCCATTTTTAAAATTAATAACCTTTGATAGAAGGCTGGATAGTCGATTCATTCCAGAAAAATGAGTTGACTACTTTTAGGATGTTTGAACACAACATCTTTGTTTTGGTTTTAAGTCTCTCAATAGCTGCATCCAGAAACACAATATTCAAACTAACAAAAAAATATAGTTGAATCAAATCTTTTTTCTAAGCAGTGGCAACAAGCAAGTGTATTATCATTCAGTAACTAAAGTTTTCAAAATGGTAAATTGAAGTTAAAGCATTCAGTCACAAAACTTCACTTGCAGCAGGGGCAAGTCAGAATGAAGACTGCTCTCCAGAGGCAACCCTGGAGTGTCAGCAGCTAACTCCCCCAAAGCCAGAGACACGGGAATATTTAGGGCCCTAGGAGCGAAAATCCACATCCCCAGAAACCAGGTCAGGTGCGTCCTGGGACTTCATTTCCTAGAGAGGAACTGAGGTTGAAAGGGAATGGAGCTGGAGTTCCAATGCAGACCCCATAACACTTTAACTGTTTAAACCTGAGTTGGCCCCAGGAGAAATAATAAAAATTAATATGGCCTCCTTAGATGGTTTTGAAGACATCTGGTACCAGATTCAACTCCCTGAGTCTCTGACCACCTCTCTCTTTGTCTCTGTCTCTATCTCTCTCACTCTGTCTCTCTCTCTCTCCCCCTCCTTCTACCCTTCTGGTGCAGAGTCCTCAGAGGCTCCTTTCCTACTGGGGTACCTGAGTAATCTGTGGTCTTGGAGGCTCCCCTCTACTGCTTGGGGTTGATACAAGGGAACCTATCGCTGCCCAATGATTTGGGGGCACTTTGCACGTGGGAACCTGGGAAGGGCCCCTGCCACTGAACGTCACTGAGCAGGGATTGCTTTCATGAATATCCCACCCTCCACCTTTTGAAAGAGGGCTCAGAGGAAGGCCCAGATCCAAGCAGGAAGTGCCGCCGCTCAAGGCCATTTCATTCATAGGGCACATTCACTTTGTAAAACTCATGAGCCAACCCCTTACTTTTCTCAATAACCCTGTAAATTAGACATGATCTACCCCAGGTCCACACATTTTAACAGATTCAGAAAATTTTGACCAAAAGAAACATTGTGCTGTGAGTCAGAGGCAGAGCCTACTTAGCTCCAGGCATCTGCCTCCTTTCTTAAGAGTTGACCTAAGGAGAGGTAGGAAGTGGAAAGGAGGTGGGTAGGGTCTGTCTCTCTGATCAGAATCTTTTTCATAGAGGAAAACACTTGGATTTCCAAGGACAGCTTCTGGTCAGCTTGGAGCTCAGTGGCTTTTATTGCAACAAGAAGTAGCAGAAGTGAAGCCCTGACCACAGCTGTTTCATCATGAAAGTGGGTGGAAACACCAATAAAACTCTGAAGGACACATGGCTGAGACCCCCAGTAGGCTGGGACATGGCTAACAGTCACATGGTTGAGACCCCCCATAGGCTGGGACATGGCTCACAGTCACATGCCTGAGACCCCCCAGTAGACTAGGACAAGACTAACAGTCACATGGCTGAGACCCCCTGTAGGCTGGGACATGGGTAACAGTCACATGGCTAAGACCCCCCGGTAGACTGGGACAAGACTAACAGTCACATGGCTGAGACCCCCTGTAGGCTGGGACATGGGTAACAGTCACATGGCTAAGACCCCCCAGTAGACTGGGACAAGACTAACAGTCACATGGCTGAGACCCCCTAGTAGGCTGGAACATGGCTAACAGTCACATGGCTGAGACCTCCCCCCACCCAGTAGTGTGGGACATGGCTAACAGTCACATGGCTGAGACCCCCTAGTAGGCTGGGACATGGCTAACAGTCACATGGCTGAGATGCCCCCCAGTAGTCTGGGACATGGCTAACAGTCATATTGCTGAGACCTCCCGCCACCCAGTAATGTGGGACATGGGTAACAGTCACATTGCTGAGACCTCCCCAGCCCAGGTTAGTCAGGGACATGGCTGACAGTCACATGGCTAAGACCCCCCAGTAGGCTGGTACATAGGTAACAGTCACATAGCTGAGACTCCCCCATAGGCTGGTACATGGGTAATGTCACATGGCTGACACCCCCTAGTAGGCTGGGACATGGGTAACAGTCACATGCCTGAGACCCCCCAGTAGTCTGGGACATGGCTAACAGTCACATGGCTGAGGGTCCCAGTAGGCTGAGAGTTGGCTAACAGTCACATGGCGGAGACTCCCCAGTATGGCTGAGTTGGGATGGTGTTAGCGCCCAGTAGCTGAGTTGGGACAGTGTTGCAGAGTGGCAGAAATGAGCCTTCAGTCAAGTCTCTGATTTTCATAGCTGCTGTTGCTTATTGAATCATCTCTAGTCTTTGGAATGCCACAGTTTAAGTTTTCTCAGAAGTAAAACAATAAGACATGCATAACATTGATAATTTGAAGAGTAGAAATATAGTGCATATAAGGATTTTAATAAAGAAGAAAATTTTCAAGCCAGAATGAAAAAAAGAGAACCTATTCTATTAGGAAGTCAACTAAAAACTTCATGAATAAAATTAAATTTAGGTTCTTCTTTAGAGACTTCTTGGAGCCAGGAAATAATTCAGAATTCAGCCTAAGTTGTAAGCAAATAATAAAAATTCAAAAACAATGGTCAGCGCTAGAATCTAATAACAGGTGTGCAGTTGGAACATAAATTTTCTCTCTCCAGTCCCCCAGTTTTACCAAAGATAAATCATAGTAGGCCCAATTTATTTTTAAAATAAGTTTTAGTTTTATTATGTTAGGCCTGGTTATTTGCATAAAGTGCAGCAATAATAATGACTGGCCACATGGGTTCCTTCTACGTTGGTTTTGCCAGAATATTTTCTTAGGGAATTTCAGATTAGACTCTTTAAAGACTCTTGAGGCTGGGAAGCCAAGCCAAGTATTGACCATCAGACTGTGCTGGTAGTATCTGTATGAATTGGGTGAATTCCTTCCTTTTCAAGTTCCCAAAATATCTTTAGGTTCCTAGGCCTGTCTGAAAGTGATGTTCTGTGCTTGCCGCAAGGTCAGGAATCTTGTAAGGGAACCTTGTAAGCAAGTGACCATGCCAGTCTTTCCAAGGTACTATTTACTGGCCCTATAAAGTCAACGTCAGTTCCTCAAGGCAGTCTGGTTATATCTAAAAATATGCCATTTCATTATCAAAGCCTTGATAAAATGACCAGTGCCTCCAGTCAAGTCCTATTACAAAAGAAAATAGACTTTTATTGAACTTATGCAAATAACTCTGTCACCATAAAATAAGAATACTCATGAATGGTTTCTGAATTCTGGAGAAATAAGGTAAAGGGAAAGGTAAATGTTTAAGTTTTGCTCACAAAAGTATAGTTTACCCAATTGCTGTAAGCTGTAAATAGTTTAAAAGAAAAAAAGAAAGACTTTTTTACTCTGTAAACAAAATGTGATCAGCAATGTTTCAAACAAAAAGTTATACAAGTTATTTCAGTCCAGTATCAGTTCATGTATTTAGTTCTCACTCTGTTTAATGTTGTGTTAGCAATCCTCATGAACACATCAGTTTTGGTTCTGGTTTTGTTTTAAAGTTCTGGAAGTTTTTAAGTAGTCTAATAGGATGATCTCCAAAGTTATCAGAAACCCTCATTTAAGTGTACTTGTGATCCTTCGTTCATTTTGTTAATAAGATTCAAAGCTTTTACTGTAGTTGATTATGCTTTTTTAGAAAAGTTACAGTGAAACAATAATTGCCTGTGGGTGACAAAAGACAGAATAGCCATGGTTAAAGACTCAATTGGCAAAGAAATTTGGTTATTTCTGTGACATACAGCAATTAAACGTAGTCAGGATTATCACTGATAATATATACCTAGGCATATCAGATTTTTTTTTTTTGAGATGGAGTCTCACTCTGTCACCCAGGCTGGAATGCAGTGGTGTGATCTCAGCTCACCGCCACCTCTGCCTCCCGGTTTCAAGTGATTCTCTTGCCTCAGCCTCCTGAGTAACTGGGATTACAGGCACCTGTGACCACGCCCAGCTAATTTTATATTTTTAGTAGAGATGGGGTTTCACCATGTTGGCAAGGATGGTCTCGATCTCCTGACCTCCAGTGATCCACCTGCCTCAGCCTCCCAAAGTGCTGGGATTACAGGCATGAGCCGCTGCACCCAGCCTGCATATCAGATTTTTTAAAGACATCTTATACAATTTTGGTACATATATTTATAATATATCCAAACAAATATAACAAATAAGTTAAAACGACTTTTTATGTGATATTGTTTCTCTTATGATTTTTACATACCAAGGAAACGTAATATGCCTTTCTTGGACTTGCAGGAGCCCTATTTGGACTTCCAGAGGTCTTAATGTTCAAAAATTATTTTAAGGTCAAAAAGGCAATTTTAGATTTTGAAATTTTATTTTGGAAAGCCTATATCAAATATCTCAAAGGTTTAACACACTTGAACAAAACAGCAACACAAGTCACTGAGAAATAACAGTGATTCATTTAAACAAAGTGATAATCAAAAGATTTCAACAGCAAAAACCATTACTCTTTGATAGAGAGGATATGCAGTTTTCGAAACAATTAACAGACTTCGTAAAGGAAGCATGAGGCCAACAGAATCTGTCACTCTCCCCCCCACCCTTTTTGCAATCTACTCTGAATGTAAATGAAAAATCTTTTACTATCTCCTATTAATATTACATGAAAATCTTGCTCAAAACAAAAAAAATCACCTTTGCATTGGCATATTATTAATGCTGAAGCAAATTTTAATAAAATCTTATAAACGAATCCATTTAATCTCAATCAGCTTTGACACACAAGATAAAATTTTCATAAATATTTTATAACCTCTTACACATTTTTCCATTCTCTTTCTTTTCTCAACTTTGTATATCCTTCAGTTTATCTTTTTCTTTCTTCTTTTATTCTTTCCATTAAATGCAACCTTAGAATAACCTTTACATTAGGCAAAGCCACTTTCCTGTAATAAAATCACACCCCCAAGTCTTTCTTGAAAGCTTCCTTACAAAAAATATATCTTCTTATATTTTTTATATAAGAATAAGTATATTTTCTTATACTCTCTGTATATAGAATTGTTTCTCCTCTTATCTCCAGTTTTTGTTGCTGGAAATTAGTTAGAATTTTAACTCTTAGTAGCCTTAATGTATAGTGTAAACCTAAGAAGTAAGGGATTTTTTTTTAACTGTCACTCAGGTACCAACAATTTATGAATACACATTTTATAATCTTAGAAACATAGGCTTTCTAATGGAACAATGTTTCAATTTGGAACAGGACATTTTTACTAACAGATTTCAATATCATTTGTTTCTCTGAAATAAGGCAAAATATATAAGCTTAAACTCATATTTAATAATTGCTGTCTTAGTATTATATCTATTTGGAAATGACTGATATGTTCGATGAATATCATCATCATTTAATTTAGCTTAGCAAAGCTTTAAGGGTACAGTTACCAAAAACTTTGAGAAGCCTTTTTAAGTAAACATATTATAAAACAATTATTACTAAAAGTTCATTTATAAACTTTATCCCATTTACAGCTGTTTAATTTATCTATTCATTCTAATTTTTTGGAAAATTTCATGGGACATTAGACAAATCCAGCCATTGTGTCAAGTTAAATTTTCTGTTAACCATTTTTATATTACTGTATGTTATGCAGGTATCGTAAAAGCAAGAACCTTAAAGTTAAATGCAAGCATAATTTACTGATAACTCCAAAAACAGTTGTTTTTATTAAACAAACAATATTAAGCTAGTTTTATTTACCAAAATTCTTACTCAAATTACCTGAACTTGGAAAATATTTGGGTTTACTTATTTATGAACACTCACTTATCTTTAAGTTAGTTTAGTACTGTATTAGTCTGTTCTTGTATTGCTCTAAAGAAATACCTGAGGCTGAGTAATTTATAAAGAAAAGAGATATACTTAGTTTATGCTTCTGCATGCTGTACAGGAAGGATGATACTGGCATCTAGTCGCTTCTGGGGAGGCCTCAGGAAACTTTTACTCATGGTGGAAGGTGAAGGGGGAGCCAGCACGTCACACAGCCAGAGCAAGGGGGGCGAGGGATGCCATCCACCTTTAAACAACCCCATCTCGTGAGAACTCTATCATGAGAACAGCACTAGGGGGATGGTGCTGAACCACGAGAACCCACCCCATGATCCAGGCACCTCCCACCAGGCCCCACCTCCAGCACTGGGAATGACAATTCCATGTGAGATTTGGGTGGGGACACAGATCCAAACCATGTTAGGTACCATGTAGGTAATATACAAACATGTGGATAGACACGTACATGCATGCAGATACAACATATGACATACGTGTACCTGTGTATGTATCTAAATGTTTAAAAATTAAGGAATTTAATAAAAAAGAATAGAGCTTTACACCTGAGAAGAAGCTGTCCACCCACAACTCTGGGGCTCCGTGAGGAAAAAGAGTTCCTCTCCAAAAAAGAGTTTTGTGGCACCAATTCTGGTTTCCTCAAGAGGTCTTAGGGCTGTTAGAAGATTTTTTTAGGTCCTCTCTTGTGGTATTGAACGGGACAGGAGAAAGAAGGAACAGAAAGAAGTAAATGAAGGACAGATCTTAGAGGAGACAGATGGAGGAGCTCTTGTTTTCCAAAAAGCTAATAAAGTTTCACATTATCCTTGGCAAAAATTCTATCAACTAGTGGAGAAACACACAAAATGAGTGCATTGGTTAGCAGGGGTTTAAGAAAAGAGGGACTCTGTCACCAAGATGCTTTCATAGAAAGAACAGAAGCCTCAAAACGTGTGTATCCACACACACACATACACACACATGCACGCACATATACACACATACACATACACACACAGATGCATACACACACATACACATGCACACGCATACACACATGCATGCACACACACATGCACACATACACACACGCACAGATTCACACATGCACATATACACATACGCACATACACAGACACATTTACACACCCACACACTTAATACTAGCTTTAATTAAGGTTACTTTTGACTACAGACTCTTAAAAAATCCTTTTATAAGGTATTAGCTGGGCAATTAGCAAACATTCCTGGTTTTTTTTTCTTTTTTCTTTTTGGAATTTACAGAAAGAGTTTTAGAAGTGGGACATATTTGTTTATTAGAGATCTAGGGTAATCATTATTTAAAGCTGTTTGTCTTTGGCTTAATAAAATGTTTCCTTTTTCTCTGAGTAAATGGTTTTATTTAGCTTAAGAGAAAAGGCTAAAAAACAACAACAACAACAAAAAATGTCTATCGCATTCTAAATATAAACCAAAATTTTAAACCAAAGGTGTATGTGCACAGATGACTCAAAATGAACACAAATAAATATGCATGAGCCCAACTTAAGAAGTTCTCCCTGGCATTAACCAAGGTCTCCAAAGATGAAGCAAAACTCTCCGCCTTTTCAAGATCCAGACACCTCCAGGGTCAGCTTGAGAAAGAAAGTTCTGGTAGCATCAGATGGGGTGCAGCTGTATCTGTCAGGTAAAATCTTCCAGGGTCTCACTTCTCAGCTGCCTGTCTACGCACAATGGCCAGGTTAAAAGGAACAGCCAGGAAAACAGGAAAACAAAAGTGTCCATGGGGGTAGTGCAGGGAAGAAAATATAATTGCTTTTCTTTCCTTCATGTGTTCTTAGTTTTGACACTTTCCTGAAAACAAAAGTCCGATTGACAAGAAGAAACCAGCAGAAGTTTATTAATGAGTGCTGTACGCATCGTGTGGGGGAGGCCTTTGACGCTTATTGACGAGTGTTGTACCCATCGTGTGGGGGAGGCCTCGGAAGTTTTTCTCTGTCAAGACAGTTGCTTGGGGACTGTGCTCACATAGTATTTTTGCAAAGAACCACAAATCCTATATAGTGACTAAACAAAGAAAAGAGCATTTCCAGGCTTCCAAGAGGTGGGAAAATGTGGGAGGTGAATTTATGGGAAGAGTAAAATCTGTTCCTAGAGCCTCTGGTGCCACTGCCTCTGAGCAGATAAACAAGTGTTGTGAGGGGCCTTTTGAGGTGGGAAAGGAGGAGAGGAGGCCAGGAAGCTCTATCTTTGTACACTGCTGTTCCGCCATCAGGCTAGTGGAAGATGGGACAAGGTCCCTGGCATTTTCACCTTCTTCAGCTCAACAATTCTCAGTGTTTTTGAGAGGAATATTTTGGTTTTCTTCAGTAGAAAGGATTATACATGGGTCCCCTAAAAGGTCAAAAGCAATATAAATAATTTAAACAAATAATTCAAATTAATTCTTATACATATTTCTCTCCTAAGCTAAGTGCATCCTCTGAGGAGAGGGATTCTGTGGTGGTCTAAAGAATTTCCATGCTGTTTCAAATCTGATCTCACCTGGAATACTGCCTAGCTAATTCCCTAGATGAGACTATGGCAAAGACATGATAATACTTACATTTCCCAGGGACTGGGAAAGGCCTGGGAAAGCCTGGTGTTCCTTTTGTAATCTGTGCAGCAAGGTGGAGCAGGCAGTTTGACCGTTCACAAGGATGTCTTGAGAAGTTAAAGGAAAACTCTCAAAAAACCAAAAAATTTAAATCTCTTATTATCAGATTTCAGGTGGGACAGACAGAAAGTATGTTTCCCATTCAATTAGTCAGGTTCCACAACCTGCTTTTTAAAATTGTGCATGCAAACATATTAATTTAAGAATTTCAAAAGACTTGCATTGTGACCATTGTTTTTTAGGGTCACCTTGAGTCACATGGGTCCATTTACATAGGTATTTGCAAGACAGAGCTCCATAAATCCAGCGGGTGTTGCCAACAGGGTGCCCCTTAAAGGAGAGCTCAGTTTTGGTAAGCAGTGTCCCATAATTTTAGCAATTCCTTTTCAAAAGTGACCAAGGCTGGCATAGTCTATCAGGTCGATGTGTGCCGGTTGATGAGTGTCACTCCTCAGGTTGTCACCAGTGAGTTGTGACTTGTCCTCTGGGTGTTAGCAGTGAGTTGTGACTTGCTCCTGTGTGTTTCAGAAGCTCCCATCACCTTGGGGCAGCAGACTGACCATTTCTTTCTTTACCTTTCCAAAAGCAAGAGTCCCTAAAATGTTCTTCCAGTGAGGGATGCTCTGTGAGGCCACGTCGTGTCCTGGACAACATTGCTGAAACCTCTCTAATCCCCTAGAGCACCCATGAGGGTCAGAGCTGCAATGGACTCTTCTCTTCAGGGCAAAAGAACTCACTGTCATTCACCTTTTAGTTTGGAGCTAATGGAAATTGGTCCCAAATGAAATGACAGGTCCTAATTACAAACACTAGAAAGCAGCTGCAATTTTAAAAGCATGCTGTGTAAATTTGGGCCTAAAGAAGTGAAACCACTGGTGCTAGACTGGAATACTGTGAAGCAGACCTTCTGCTGCGAGCTAAGTCCAACTGACTTTGTCTTAATAACTTTACAACTATCCGGGGGTGGGGAATGTAGGAAATAACTTCTGGGAATGACTTGGAACCAGGATCCCTTGACTTTATTCTTTCCTTGCCTGGTAATCTTGACTGGTAACTTGAGTGAGACAAGCCTTATGAAGTTTGTGGGTCTGAGAGTCCCACCCAATGGAATCCCAGTTCTTGACCTTGTCTGAGGCACACTTTGGGGGATCCTTGTGTGGCCTTGAATGCTCTCAGCATTGCACTTGCAGGCTGTCAGTAGCTCACTTGATAGTGTGTGGCCTCTACCTCAGCCTGGCATCTCTCTGGCTGTGAAGTCATCGTTTTCTTATTTTAAGGAGTAAAGGTATGATAAGCCTGCCAGATAATCAGATGTCTCAATGGTGCTCAAGAGCTTTAAGATCTCTCATTGCATGTTCAGAAAAATGCACACTCCTGGGCAGGGTACCAGGAAGGCCTGAAGTTCATGCCCTGGCGCGGTTTCCAGCTTCACGACATAACCCAGCCTGGTGCCTGCTTGGCTGCCTCTTCCCTCCAGCTGTTCTTCACGACACAACCCAGCCTGGTGCCTGCTCGGCTGCCTCTTCCCTCCAGCTGTTCCAAGGACATGCGCTGCAACGTCTCATCTCCAGGCCTTTGTTGGGTTCCAGTTCTCAGTTTGTCTTCCTGTGAAGTTGTGTCCTTCCTTTCTACATTCATTTGGTAAACATATGTCAAAAATTTACTATGTCCAAAGGTCTCTCTGCTAGTGAGTGAAAAGTTATCCCTGTTAATTTTGAGACATTAAGATGAATTGGCCATTCAGAAATTAGGGGAAAATAGAAATACAAACAGAACTTACTATAATGTTACCTGATGTGTGTTGTAAAAGTGCAAGGACAAGGACGAGGTGGATTCACACCTTAATTCTATCAGACATTCAAAGAAGAATGGGTATCAATTTTACTGAAACTATTCCAAAAGATAGAGAAAGACGGAATCCTCCCTAAACCATTATGTGAAGCCAGTATCACCCTAATGCCAAAACCAGGAAAAGACAGAACAAAAAAAGAAAACTACAGACAATATATCTGATTAACATATGTGTAAAAATCTTCAAGAAAATTATGCTAATAATTTGCTAATTAAATTCAACATAATATGCCAATTAAATCCAACAGCATATCAAATAGATAATACACCATAATCAAATGGGTTTCATACTGAGGATGCAGGGATGGTTTAACATACGTAAGTCAATAAATATGGTACATCACATAAAATTAAAAACAAAAACCATATTATCATCTCAATAGATGCAGGTAAAGAATTTGACAAAATCCAGCATCTCTTTATGATTAAAACCCTCAGTAAAATCAGCATAGAAAGGACATGACTTTAGGTAATAAAAGCTATCTATGACAAACCCACAGCCAACATCATACTGAATGGGGAAAAGTTGAAAGCATTTCTCCTGAGAACTGGAAGAAGACAGGGACGCCTACTCTCACCACTTCTATTCATCATAGTACTGAAGTCCTAGCCAGAGCAATCAGACAAGAAAAACAAATCAATGACATCTAAAATTTTGAAGAGGAGGTCAAACTATCGCTGTTTGCTGATGATATGATTGTACTTAGAAACTGTAAGGACTCATTCAGAAAGCTCCTAGATCTGATAAATGAATCATGTAAAGTCTCAGAATACAAAAGCAATGTACACAAATGAGTAGCACTGCTATACACCAATAATGACCAAGCTTAGAATTAAATCAAGAACTCAATCGCTTTTACAACAGCTGCAAAAAGTAAAATATTTAGGAATATACCTAACCAAGGAGGTGAAAAATCCCTACAAGGGAAACTACAAAACACTGCTGAAAGAAATCATAGATGACACAGACAAATGGAAACACATCTCATGGTTATGAATGGGTAGGATCAATACTGTGAAAATGACTATACTGCTGAAAGTAATCTACAAATTCAGTCCCCATCAAAATATCATAATTCTTCACAGAACTAGAAAAAGCAAACCTAAAATTTATGTGGAACCAAAAAGGAGCCTACATAGCCAAAGCAAAACTAAGAAAAAAACAAATTTGGAGGTATCACATTACCCAACTTCAAACCATAATAGAAGGCTATAGTCACCAAAACAGCATGGTACTAGTACAAAAACAGACATAGACCAATGGAACAGAATAGAGAACCCAGAAACAAAGCCAAATACTTACAGCCAACTGATCTTGACAAAGCATACAAAAACATAAATTGGGGAAAGAGAACTCTATTCAATATATGGGTCTGGGATAATTGGCAAGCCACATGCAGAAAAATGAAAGTGGATCCTCATCTCTCACCTTATACAAAAATCAACTGAGGATGGATCAAAGACTTAAATCTAAGACCTGAAACTATAAAAATTCTGGAAGGTAACATCAGAAAAACTCTTCTAGACATTGGCTTAGGCCAATGAGAGTTCATGACCAAGAACCCCAAAGCAAATGCAACAAAAAGCAAAAACAAATAGATGAGACCTAATTAAACTAAAAAGCTCCTGCACAGCAAAAGAAATGATCAGCAGAGTGAACAGACAACCCACGGAAAGGGATAAAATCTTCGCAATCTATATATTCGATAAAGGACTAATATCCAGACTCTGCAAGGAACTCAAACAAACCAGAAAGAAGAAAACAAATAATCTCATCAAAAAGTGGGCAAAGGACATGAATAGGCAATTCTCAAAAGAAAATATACAAATGGCCAACAAACATATGAAAAAATGCTCAACATCAGTAATTTGCAGGGAAATGCAAATTAAAACCACAACATATAAGCTACCTTACTCCTGCAAGAATGGCCATAATCAAAAAGTTAAAAAACAATAGATGTCGGTGTGAATGTGATAAAAAGGGAACACTTTTACCTGCTGGTGGGAATGTAAACTAGCACAACCACTGTGGAAAACAGTGTGGAGATTCCTTGAAGAACTAAAAGTAGGACTGCCATTTGATCCAGCAACCCCACTATTGGGTATCTACCCAAAGGAAAAAAAAGTCATATGAAAAAGACACATGCACACAAATGTTTATAGCAGCACAATTAGCAATTTCAAAGACATGGAACCAACCTAAGTGCCCATCCACCAATGAGTAGATAAAGAAAGTATGGTACATATACTCCATGGAATATTACTCAACCATACAAAGGAACAAAATAATGTCTTTTGCAGCAACTTGGATGGAGCTGGAAGCCATTATTCTAAGTGAAGTAACTCAGGAATGGAAAACCAAATATCACGTTCTCATTCATAAATGGGAGCTAAGTGATGAGGACGCAAAGGCATACAAATGATACAATGGGCTTTGGGGAATTGGGGGGAAGGATGGGAGGGGACTGAGGAATAAAAGACTACACATTGGGTATAGTGTACACTGCATGGGTGACAGGTGCACCAAAATCTCAGAAATCACTGCTAAACAACTTAACCATGTAACCAAAAACCCCCATTCCCCAAAAACTATTGAAATAAAAATAAAAATGAATGTTCAAAACGTGCATGGACAAAGTACTCAAAAGACTACAGAAAAGTGAATTGTTTCTTAAATGGTTATGTTGTTTCTTCTTGATTATAATCTTATCCCACTAATTGCCCTTTTCATAAAGAGATTCATGTGTTTTTGTCTCTCAACTTGGGGCCCAGCCACTGTGACCCTAAAGCGCACTGAGCCTGTGCTCCTTGCGTAGAGGACCTTGAACATACCCCCGTGCGTTCCTCTGCATCAGCTGCTGGCTTTCCATGTGACAGATGCTCCGTAAATGTTTCCTGCAATTAACCATGCTTTGAGAAACTTTATCAACATATAAGCTAATTTTTAGGAGACATGACAGAATGGGTCCTGACATACTTCCTGGCTCTCTCAGTGTTGAGAGAAGCCCAGCAGTGGCCTGAGCCGTCAGCAGCCAACCACGCTGCCTGCTGTCCAGGAAAGGTGAACCAGGGCTATAGCTTCTGTGTGAGAAGGAAGGACTCATGCTCCTCTCTGACCCTGGCTTTGGGGATTCACAGGCAGGTGAGGAAGTTAGAGCATTAAAACAATAGCCATGTAGGTAAGTAAAGCCAGTCTGGGCCCAGGGAAAACCAAGAAAATTTCTAATTACTTTATTTTCGACCATCAGAGCTTCTAAGATAAATTAAAAATTAGACTGGAGTCCTACGAGTGAATTCCGTTTTCCAAGTATCATTGCACTAAATCTAGACATGTACTTCAGCCTGTGTGGGTCTGGATTGAACACCGAGAAACCACGTGAGGCACACTCAGGTTCTGTCCAATGAGCTTAAATAACTTGCTTGTGATTGGATTTGGCAAAATATGAGATGGATGTTCACACTGGGAGAACTGTCCCTGGTAAACACTCCAGCTTCTAAGATAGAAATGCAGCCTTCAAACCCGTCTTCTGGGTGTCCTTAGAGAGAGGCTGGTGTGTTTTACATTTCTTTTAGGTACATCACAGTCATGGTTTACGTCACCAGATCAAACAAATCATATTCTCATTGCTTTGTTTTCCTATCTTTTTTATTTGGAAGGGACCGTCCCCATTATGGTCTATATTTTGGAAGTCAAAATAATATTAGTCTTGAAATTAAAATACTATAATATTTCAACTCAAAGGCATTGGTAAAGAGATAAATCCAAAATATGCCTCTTTTGATACAGATTTTCAAAGAGAAAAGTACCAGACACAATAATACCTACCAGTTTGGAGGTGTCAATTTCCAATTCTCCCCACTCTCTCTGTGCTTAGTGACACTGAACATTTGTTTCATAGACTTGCTGGCCATCTGTCTGTCTTCTTTTGGGAAATGCCTGTCCAAGTTTTCCGCCCATTTTAAAATCAGGTTGTTTTCTTGCTTTTGAGTGCTTTGACTTCCTTATATATTTTGGATATTAACCCCTTATCAAATGCATGGCTTGTAAATATTTCCTCCATTCTTTAGGTAGTCACTTCATTTTGTTTATTATTTTTATTGCTGTGCGGACACTGTTTAGTTCAATGGACTTTAATTTGTCTGTTTGCTTTCATCGCTTATGCCTTTGGAATCATATCCAAAACATCATTGCCCAGACCAATGCCAAAAATATTTTGTCCTATGTTTTATCCTAGTGGTTTTATAGTTTTTGGTCTTACATTTAAATCTTTAATCCATTTTGAGTTGATTTTTTATATGGTGTGAAATAAATATCTGATTTCATTCTTCTGAATGTGAATATCCAGTTTTCCCCACATCATTTATTGAAGAGACTATCTTTTCCCCGTTGTGTGTTCTTGCCACCCTTGTAAAGGAGCAACTGATGGTAAAAGCGTGGATTTATCTTTGGGGTCTCAATTCTGTTTTTGTCTATATTTCTGTTTTAGCACTAGTACCATGCTGTTTTGGTTGTTACAGCTTTGTAGTATATTTTGAAGTTGGGTAGTGCAGTGCCCCTAGCTTTGTTCTATTTACCCAATAATGCTTTTGCTAGTCAAGGTCTTTTGCAGTTCAATATGAATTTTAGAATTTTTTTTCTGTTTCAGTCAAACATGTCATTGGAATTTTGATAGGGATTGCATTGAATCTATAAATTGCTTTGGCCATAGTTTCTTTTCTTTTTTAGGTTGAATAATATTCCATTATATGCATATACCCAACACTTAGGCTGCTTCCATTCTTTGGCTCTTGTGAATAATGCTACTGTGAACACAGGTGCTCAAATATCTGCTTGAGTCCCTGCTTTAAATTATTCGGGTATTGAACAAAAGTAGAATTGCTGGATCATGTGGTAATTCTATTTTTAATTTTTTGAGGAACTCCCATACTCTTTGCTGTAGCAGCTGCACTATTTTATTTCCACCAACAAAGGAAATTGGAATGCACAAGGGTTCCAGTTTCTCCACATCCTCAACAACACTTCCTAGGAGAGTACTGGCCATCCTAATGGATGGTAAATGTTATCTCACTGGAGTTTTATTTGTATCTTCTAATGATTATTGATGTTGAACATCTTTTCATGTGCTTATTGGACACTTCTATATCTTCCCTAAATAAATATTCAGATTTTTTGCCCATTTTCTTATCAAGTTGTCTTTTGTTGTTGTTGTTGCTGATTTATAAGAGTTCTTAAATATTCTAGATATTAGCTCCTTATCAAATGTGTGATTTGCGGATGTCTTCTCTCATTCTGGGAGTTTTCTCTTTATTCTTTGTTTACAGTGTCCTTTGATGCACAAAAGTTATTAATGTTGGTGCAATCTAATTATCTCTTTTAATTTATCTATGCTTTCTTTGATTGCCTTTGCTGTTTGTGTCATATCCAAGAAATTGTTGCCAAACCCAATGTCATAAGTGTTTCCCTATGTTTTCTTCTAAACTTTTTAAAGTTTTAATTCTTATGTTTAGGTCCTTGATTCATTTGGGGTTAATTTTTATATATGGTATAAGGTAAGAGCCTAAATTCATTGTTTTGCAACCGGATATCTAATTTTCCCAGCACCAGTTGATTAAAAAACTGCTCATTCCCCATTGCACGGACATTTCTGATTGAATCACAGACTTACATGGCACCACATAGGCCAGGTTTTACTTCTGTGCTCTCTGGTGTATTCCATTCATCTGTATGTCTCTCTTTATACCAGTACAGTGTTTTGATAACTGTGGCTTTGCCATCAGCTTTAAAATCAGGAACCATGAGACTTCAGACTTTGTTTATTTGTTTTCAAGATTGTTTTGGCTAGTCAGGATCCTTTAAGATTACAGAGGCATTTTTCTATTTAAAAAAATGTCTTTGGGATTTGAATGGAGAATGTATTGAATCTGAGGTTCACTTTTGGCAATATTAACACCTTAATAACATTATGCCTTCCAACCCATAAATATGGGATGCCTTTCCATTTGTTGGTGTCTTCATTACTTTCTTTTAACAATTTTTTTTAGTTTTCATTCTACAAGACCTTTGCATCCATGGTTAAGTTCATTCCTTAGCATTTTACTTTTTCATCCTATTGTAAATGGGATTGTTTTCTTAATTTCTTTTTCAGATTATTCATTATAAGCAGATAGAAACAAAATTTATTTTCCCCTTCTCCCAATCCCCAGCTCTGGGTAACCTCTATTCTATTGTCTGTCTCTATGAATTTGCTTTTTCTAGGTGCCTCATAGAAGTGCAATAGTAGAATAGATTACCTTTTCTATCTGGCTTCTTTTGCTTAGAGCTTAATGTCTTCAAGGTCCATCCATGTTGGAATATGTACCAGAACATTCTTTTTTAGAGCTGAATTATATTGCATTTCATGGATACATCATATTTTATTCAATATTTGTTGATGAGCACTCTGGGTTATTTCACCTTTTGGCTATTGTGAATAATGGTGCAATGCACATTTACATGCAAGTATCTGTTCGAGTCCCTTTTTTATTTTTTGGAATACCCATGGGAGTGAATTTCCTAGGTCATATCATAACTCTATTTAACTTTCTTATGGAACTGCTCATCTGTTCTCCACAGCGCCTATACTTGTTTACATTCCAACTGGCAATGAAGGTTCCAATTTCTCCGCATCCTCATCAATGTTTTTCTTTTCTCCTTTTTAAAATATTATAGCCATTGTAGTAGGTGTGAAGTGGTATCTCATTTTGAGGGTTTTGTTTGTTTGCATTTCCCCAATGATTGATGATGTGACACATCTTACCATGTGTTAAGGGGACATCCGTGTGTCTTCTTTGGAGAAACTTAAGTCCTCTGCCCATTTTTAAAGTGGATTTTTTGTTTTTTTGATGTTGATGTGTAGGAGTTCTTGATAAATTCTGGACATTAAATCCTTCTAAGATATATGATGTGTAAATATTTTCTTCCATTCTGTAGTTTGTCTTTTCTCACTCTCTTGAAAATGTCCTTCGATGCACGAAAGTTTTTTATTTTGATCAAGTCCACTTTATCTTTTTCTTTTGTTGTTTGACAGCAGTGTTTTAAACTCCCTAATGCATGATACAAAACAATCACTTACCAGAGTTATCTAACATGTGCTAGTTGGGGCTGGAGCCACCTTGAATTCTCACTTCAGTTCTCACATTGATAGAAGGAATGGTTTGTAGCTGTTTTTATATTTTTCCAGACTCCAGGAGGAGGGCTTCCTGCCAGTTTTCCCTCAAATTGAGTGGAAGCCTTGTCACATCTCATCAGTAAAAAGACTTGCTCATTGTGAGGGCTGATTATTTCTCTGATGTGTGAATCTTAAGCTGATGAATATCAAGAGGAAAATGTAAACCCTTCTGCCACACCACAGTAGAGGAAGCCATAACTGCCTAACCCACAGAAACAAATACATTCCACTGCAGCCCAAGAGCTGTGCACTGGCATCTGCATACAGGCTGGAGACAAGATGGTCAGGTGGGGGAAAGGGCAGCACCCCCTGTCCCTATGCTAACGACCAAATGAGAGTATTGGCTGCTGCAGCACTCCCGGATCTGCAGACTAGAAACTGCTTAAGGCCTCGCACCGTCCGCTCACTGGCCGCATCGAACTGAAATCAAGCTGGGATGCAGCACAGGCTGCTTCCGGGTGCTCCCAGAGGGGTGGAAGCTCTGTGGAGGCACAGAAGAGGCACCGAGGCACTCGCCTCCCTCTCCATGGCCTCTGACAATTTTCTGTATGTTCCCAAGGTCTTCTCTCTCCTCCCCACAAAAAACTGGAGCTAACAATTAAAGCAAATCCTCACATCTGTCTAAATTTACTGATTTAGGTAACAAAACTTGCAGACCTCAGAGACTGTGAATTTGGAGAAGTGACTTAAAGAACCGAGATGCCGGTTGTTATTACCCTGGAAGAAGGGGTGGGAAGAGGAGTCTATGCAGACAGAGGGTGGACTTGGCATTTGAATAAATGAGATCATCACCCAACAGCCCGATTACAAAACGCCATTCTTTATCCTTTCCAGGATAGAAAGGGCAAACATTTCATACTAATCGAAGGAGAGATTCTTTTGCAAAGTGGGTCATTTTTCTTTTCCAGGTTCTGTAGAGCTGGTTCATGCTAGGAATTAATAAATACCAAATAACAAAATGTTGTTGAAAATGGCGTCTCTCCAAAAAGATATGATCACCTCTATTCTTTCAATTGAAAAAGATTCTAATGTGAAATATCTCTAATGTAAGTGCATATGTTCACAAAAGTGAGCCAGTACAAAAATAAAATGTTTGACATAAATGTGATTTGTCTTTCTAAAATTGAATGGTAGAATAGTGACATTTTATTATTATTTGCATTAATTATAAAAGCATCCTAGGTTTGCTATTATTTCACATTTTTTCCTAAATGGGAAAATAATTTTTCCATCTTTTTGTTATTAATAATTCATTGAATTAATGTGGGATGTTTTGCACAGGGCAATTACAGTTTATTTTCTTCCTAATTTTTTTATAACAAAATATCCCCATTTTACAGGCAAGACACCTGGCTCAAAGAAAGAAATTAAATTATTAGCCTAAATTATAGCTGCCATTTTTGATGTTTAAATTGTGCCAGAGTTTACGTGCAGTATCTCACTTAATTCTCCCAATAGACACAGACTGGGGTTTGCCCCAATTTATAGGTGAGAAAACCAAGTTTTGGAAACGTGCCTTTCTGAGACCTTTGGCTGCCAAGGGAGGATGGCAGCTGAGCTGGGTTTGCAGGAGTCTACGTGTGTCTCTGCTGTTGGAGATGCTCACAGGAGTTTCCAGATGACCGGATTCACCTGTGATCCTCTGAATCTTCCCCCTTGAACTCTGTGCTTTCTGTACACATCAGGAAGCTCAGGATGATCCCTTTGTTCCCCATGAAAAAGGGCCACAGCTGACACCCCTACAGCAGAAACACATGTTAACAAGAGAGAAGCAGAGAACATTTATTACACTCACATGTGTTCATGGAGGTCTTGGGAAATGTGAACTCAGAGGGTCCAGATGGCTGAGGCCCGAATGCCCTCCTCACAGAAAGGAGGAGTGGGGTTGCTCAGTCCCGTGCTCCAGGGAGGGTATGTGGGAGTGAAGGTTGTCTTGGCTGCAGACGAAGTCTCCCAGGTAACCTCCGGGAGCTGCCCTCAGAAGAACAGGGGGAAAGTCTGGGCTTGGTGGCCGCCTCCAGTCTCTTCTCTTCTCTGGAGGTTGATCTTTCCCAGCTGTTTAATGAGATCCCTGGGGAGGCAGTCTTAAGACAGTTGCATTTCCTTTGAAAGAAGCTTTCTCAGTCAAATGAGACTCCAGTGAGTTTCTTCCTGCACTTGGGAGAGAAACAAGACAAGGCTGGAGGGACCTTGATTCCGAGGCAGCTTCTGGGGCCCTCAGCACATCCATGTGCCAGGCTTCAGGGAGCCACCTGCTGAGACCCAACAATGCTCTTTTTGTTTCCTAATTTTTATCGCTTTTTTTTTTTTGAGATAGGGTCTTACTCTGTTGCCCAGGCTAGAGTGCAGTGGCACAGTCATAGCTCACTGCAGGCTCAGACTCCTGGGCTCAAGCCATCCTCCTACCTCAGCCTCCCAAAGCACTGGGATTACAGCTGTGCACCACCTCACCCAGCCTGTTTTATTTTCTTTTAATGAACAACATGCTGTAGCCTGGGACTTAGGTAATTCAGACTCTGGAAAAGATATTTTCCTTTAATATTTAAAACCTTCTTGAGGACCTAATTAATGCAAATCAGAGCCTTCGTAGCAAGTCCTCTGTGAAGACCTCAGGGCAGGGATCTCACTCCTTAGACAAGGCCGGTTTCTTGCTTCTGGCTTGTTATGAATTATGTTATGATTACATTTGTCTCTTGAGGGTCCTACATTTCAAATAGCTCCTGCTCTGTAGGACAGCGGCAGCTTCCTCTCACTGGGACTTTTAATTTGGGAAGCAGGACATGCATAGGAAGAGTGGACTCGCACTTTTCCCCTGTTCTGGGCACGCCTGGCCCAGCTCTGTAGGACAGCAGCAGCTTCCTCTCACTGGGACTTTTAATTTGGGAAGCAGGACATGCATAGGAAGAGTGGACTCGCACTTTTCCCCTGTTCTGGGCACGCCTGGCCCAGCTCTGTAGGACAGCGGCAGCTTCCTCTCACTGGGACTTTTAATTTGGGAAGCAGGACATGCATAGGAAGAGTGGACTGGCACTTTCCCCCTGTTCTGGGCACGCCTGGCCCAGCTCTGTAGGACAGCGGCAGCTTCCTCTCACTGGGACTTTTAATTTGGGAAGCAGGACATGCATAGGAAGAGTGGACTGGCACTTTCCCCCTGTTCTGGGCACGCCTGGCCCAGCTCTGTAGGACAGCGGCAGCTTCCTCTCACTGGGACTTTTAATTTGGGAAGCAGGACATGCATAGGAAGAGTGGACTGGCACTTTCCCCCTGTTCTGGGCACGCCTGGCCCAGCTCTGTAGGACAGCGGCAGCTTCCTCTCACTGGGACTTTTAATTTGGGAAGCAGGACATGCATAGGAAGAGTGGACTCGCACTTTTCCCCCTGTTCTGGGCACGCCTGGCCCAGCTCTGTAGGACAGCAGCAGCTTCCTCTCACTGGGACTTTTAATTTGGGAAGCAGGACATGCATAGGAAGAGTGGACTCGCACTTTTCCCCTGTTCTGGGCACGCCTGGCCCAGCTCTGTAGGACAGCGGCAGCTTCCTCTCACTGGGACTTTTAATTTGGGAAGCAGGACATGCATAGGAAGAGTGGACTCGCACTTTTCCCCCTGTTCTGGGCACGCCTGGCCCAGCTCTGTAGGACAGCGGCAGCTTCCTCTCACTGGGACTTTTAATTTGGGAAGCAGGACATGCATAGGAAGAGTGGACTGGCACTTTTCCCCCTGTTCTGGGCACGCCTGGCCCAGCTCTGTAGGACAGCGGCAGCTTCCTCTCACTGGGACTTTTAATTTGGGAAGCAGGACATGCATAGGAAGAGTGGACTGGCACTTTTCCCCTGTTCTGGGCACGCCTGGCCCAGCTCTGTAGGACAGCAGCAGCTTCCTCTCACTGGGACTTTTAATTTGGGAAGCAGGACATGCATAGGAAGAGTGGACTCGCACTTTCCCCCTGTTCTGGGCACGCCTGGCCCAGCTCTGTAGGACAGCGGCAGCTTCCTCTCACTGGGACTTTTAATTTGGGAAGCAGGACATGCATAGGAAGAGTGGACTCGCACTTTCCCCCTGTTCTGGGCACGCCTGGCCCAGCTCTGTAGGACAGCGGCAGCTTCCTCTCACTGGGACTTTTAATTTGGGAAGCAGGACATGCATAGGAAGAGTGGACTCGCACTTTCCCCCTGTTCTGGGCGCGCCTGGCCCAGCTCTGTAGGACAGCGGCAGCTTCCTCTCACTGGGACTTTTAATTTGGGAAGCAGGACATGCATAGGAAGAGTGGACTGGCACTTTTCCCCCTGTTCTGGGCACGCCTGGCCCAGCTCTGTAGGACAGCGGCAGCTTCCTCTCACTGGGACTTTTAATTTGGGAAGCAGGACATGCATAGGAAGAGTGGACTCGCACTTTCCCCCTGTTCTGGGCGCGCCTGGCCCAGCTCTGTAGGACAGCGGCAGCTTCCTCTCACTGGGACTTTTAATTTGGGAAGCAGGACATGCATAGGAAGAGTGGACTGGCACTTTTCCCCTGTTCTGGGCACGCCTGGCCCAGCTCTGTAGGACAGCGGCAGCTTCCTCTCACTGGGACTTTTAATTTGGGAAGCAGGACATGCATAGGAAGAGTGGACTGGCACTTTTCCCCCTGTTCTGGGCACGCCTGGCCCAGCTCTGTAGGACAGCGGCAGCTTCCTCTCACTGGGACTTTTAATTTGGGAAGCAGGACATGCATAGGAAGAGTGGACTCGCACTTTCCCCCTGTTCTGGGCGCGCCTGGCCCAGCTCTGTAGGACAGCGGCAGCTTCCTCTCACTGGGACTTTTAATTTGGGAAGCAGGACATGCATAGGAAGAGTGGACTGGCACTTTTCCCCTGTTCTGGGCACGCCTGGCCCAGCTCTGTAGGACAGCGGCAGCTTCCTCTCACTGGGACTTTTAATTTGGGAAGCAGGACATGCATAGGAAGAGTGGACTGGCACTTTTCCCCCTGTTCTGGGCACGCCTGGCCCAGCTCTGTAGGACAGCGGCAGCTTCCTCTCACTGGGACTTTTAATTTGGGAAGCAGGACATGCATAGGAAGAGTGGACTGGCACTTTTCCCCTGTTCTGGGCGCGCCTGGCCCAGCAGCCCTGCCGATAGGGCCACCCTCCGCCCTGCCTGGCACTGGAACTCCTGAGAGCCCCCCGCATCCAAGGATGTCTCTGGAGGCAGGAAGCCCCAGTCCTAGGGAGGGTAGAGGGCAGGCTCACCCTGACCACAGGGTGCACAGCTGATTGTGGTCTCAGTCCCCATCTCCAGCTCTGATGTCCGGACTTGCTCAAGCAGGAAGTCCTGTTTGTTCTGCACATCCCACCCAACCTCTCCAGTGCCGAATTCCAGGGGCAGCCAGGACATGAACTGGAGGGGCAAGCTCCCTCCAACGCGGGCTTCAGCATTCACAACTAGAGGAAGACGAAGAGGATGGCAACAGGAAATCGAATGCTGCCAAATACTTACAGGTTTATTCTGAGCCAACAGAGTGACTGCGACCTGGGGACACACAGTCTCCTGAGGTCCCAAGAAGGTGCACCTGAGGCAGTCGGGTTGCAGTTTGGTTTCATACATTTCAGGCTGACAGAATCTCATGTGAACCGTAAGTCAGTGCATGGAGGGTGTGCACTGCTTCAGCCTGGAAAAGTGGGTATCTCCAAGCGGGGGCTTACAAGTCATAGGTGGGTTTTGGGGATTCTTTAGCTGGCAGTTGGTTGAAAGAGCTAAGCTTTGTCTAAAGACTTGAGGTCAGTGGGAAGGAACACTGAAGTTAAGATGAAGTCATCTGCATCCACCACGTCATGCTGTACCAGAGTCAGGGTGGAAAGTCAACCACATCATACAGATTAATTAAAAAAAAAATCTGTTCAAGGGGATTTAATGGTTTGTAGGGCACAACTCCCCAGGCCCTTTAGAAAGGAATTTGGGAAAGAGGAAAAAAAAGGTGAGAGCTCAGTACTCGGAACAGGAAGGTGAAGCCCTTCTAGTCCCAGTGCTAACCCTACCCAGGTAGCACCATAACAGGCAGGGGCTCTGGTCCCAGCACTAACCCTACCCAGGCATCACCATAACAGGTAGGGGGCTTTGGGTCCTTGAGTAAGAAGATCAAAACTTGAGAGGGGTTAGAGCTCCAGCCAGGGATCCTGCAGGGCAGGGTCCAGTAGCCTCCTGACCAGCCTGTGGGTCTTCCTGGTGTTAAGGCTCAGCCCATGAAAACCAAGGAGCCCTCAGGCAAGTCAGACCCCAGCTGACCCTCACCAGCCCTGCCCAGAGACTAGGACCATCATCAAACCAGGGCAAAATTGGTTTTGAAAGCACTAGTTTACAACCACTGGTTCTTCTTAAAGACCACAACATCATCTCTCACTCCCTGTTCCTCTCTGTCACTCTGAAGTCCCTGTCTCTCTCCATGTCCTGTCAGGCCCCTGTCTGGCTCCCATCACTGTATGTGTGAACCCGTATTTCACTCCTTTCTCTCCTTGGCCAAGGCCATGTGAGTTCAGCATTAAGGGGTCTGAATGGCTGCATCTCGCCCAACCCTGGGAAGAGAAAACTAGCTCAGAGGAGTCAGCTATGTGAGGTTTGAAGAATTTATCAGTCCCAGGGAGACATGAATTTGGGGCTGCAGTCCTGCACTCCCACACATGCACCCTTGCCTGGGGCAGCTGTTTAAAGGCATTGTGCCCCTGCCCTGCTGCCTCACCCATCATCTTCATGTTCCTGGAATTTGTGATACAAAGAACAAAGCATAGCCAATCAATCAGTAGCTTATGGTATTTAATTTAGATTTTGGGTAAACAACTCAGAAACTGCCTCTTTTTTTTTTTTAAGGTCCTTTTGTAACTGCAGCTTTTTGGAGTGTATATTCAGGGCAATTTAAATCTGTATCCCCGGGTTGCAACTCTCAAGCTTGGCTCAAACAAAGTCTCCACATGTATTAATTTAGCCTCAGATTCTTCCTTTAGGTTGACATTCCTATGGCAACAGCCACTGGACCCTGCCTGGAGCACAGCATGCCCTTTATATGTTTTATTCTAAATGCAAGTGTGCACGGATAATTTGTAAACCAAAAATAAAATTCTAAAGCCCCCCAGCCATCTGAATGGACTTCCTCCTCAGCCAGGGATTTCTTAAAATTTAACCTGAAAGACTGGTTCAGGCCATGATAGGAAATAAGTGTTGGGTGTGCCTCATGATGCCTCTCTGGCATTAACATCAACATATTCTTTAAGTCTGAAAACAAACATTTTACAACCTATTCTCTAAAGCCTACTACCTTAAGGCTTCCTCTGCAAATAAGAACTGTGGTCTCCACAATCCTTTATCTTAACCCAGACATTCCTTTCTATTGATCCCAGGTCTTTATATACACTCAACCAATTGTCAACAAGAAAATTTTTCAGTCTACTTCTAATCTGGAAGTCCTTGCTTGTAGTTGTCCCACCTTTCTGAACCAAACCAATGTATTTCTTAAATGTATTTGATTGAAGTCTGCTGTCTTCCTAAAGTGTATAAAATCAAGCTGTGCCCTAACCACCTTGGGAACATGTTTCTAGGACCTCCCGAGGGCGGTGTCACAGGCCATGGCCATTCATATTTGACTGAGAATAAATTTCTTCAAATATTTTACAGAGTTTGACTCTTTTCATTAACAAATTGTTGTACAGTTGAACAGAAATCAGCTTAAACTAATACTTGTGCTTCTAGCTTTCTTACCTGGTGTATTTCTAATGAATTATTTTCTTTAAAAATAATCTTGTTATAGCCCAGTGGGTTATTCTTGACTGATGCACAAAACAGCCAATACAATGAGACAGCATGTGTTACAGCAGAGAAAGAGTTTAATTATTGCAAGGCAACTGAGCAGGAGGAGACAGGAGGTACTTTTCAAATCTTCCTTATGAAGAATTCAGAGGCTAGGATTTTAAAGGATAGTCTTCCGGCAAGGGGTTAGACAATGGGAACTGCTGATTGGCTGGGTTGGGGATGAAACCACAGGGGTGATAGGGATGTCCAAACTGTCTTTGTGCTCTGAATCGTTTCCTGGTTGGGGGGGTCACTGGTCCAAGTGGCATCAGTTGTTCTACTAAAATATAAGGTCTGAAAAACTATCTCAAACACCAGTCTTAGTCTTTACAATAGTGATGTTATCTATGGAGGCAATTAGGGAAGTTACAAGTCTTATGAGCACCAGCTACATGACTCCTGAGCAGTAAGCAAGTTAAGAAACAATGACTAGTTATGATTTACCTATGCAGAGCTCTTAGCAGAATTCAGGTTCCTACCACAATGCTAACCTTGTGGCCCTTCATTAATTATACAAAGGCAGTTTTGGTCCTTGAACAAGAACAGGGGTAGCTTTGGGAAGGGACTGTTATCATCCTTGCTTTAAGGTTAAACTAGAAGCTAAATTCCTGTGTTCTGAGCTGGGCCTGTGCCCAGGCATGAACAAGGCCATCAGCTTGTGAGGTTAGAAGCAAGGTGGGGTCACTTATGCTACTTTTCTCACCTTCATAAGTTTCACAAAGGCAGTTTCAGTCTCTCTTGTATGTTAAGTGCCATCCAGATGCCAGGGACTGTGCTGGGTACTGTTTATGCATGATTGCATTAATCACCACCAAGCCCCAGGACACAAACAGTGTAATTACCTTCAGTTTGTTCATCGTGAACCTGGGGATGAGTGTAAGTATCTTGCTTAGGGTAAAAGAATTATTAAACATAGAATCAAAGTTAAGCTTAAGTCATCTAAGACTCACAGCCCGCCCAGGCTCAGGTCTTGTCAACATTTGGAAATGATTATTTCTAAAATAATGAATTATAAGCTTTTTGGAGGGGATAACAACTTATAATGTCTGTTTAAAATTTTAATGTTTTTAAATTAAAATTTTATAAACAACAACAAAAGAAGTATGCCCATTTAGGAAATCGGATGGCCTCAGTCTCCTGGCCTTGCTATCACCCCCCCAGTGCCTTCTACATTTCAGACATTGCATCCCCCTCCCTGCGATGCCTATTAGGATAATTATGGTTTTTTAATGTGTGGTGATTCCTCAGAAAATGGTCAGGGGAACTGACTCTGCAGAGGGAGAAGGTGGTTCTTCCTGGAAAGCGGAACTTGGATGTAACCACATTAGTTCCTGCTGGGCTTTGGTCGAATTAATTTCAAGCCTTTGAAAGAGGAGGGAAAGTGTCACTGTGTGAATGGAGGTCTGGAAGGAGGTTGCCCTGCAACACAGCTTGCCCCGATACACGTGCAAATGTGTTCTCTGCCTCTTAGAAAAGCTACCAGATTGCCCATTTATTTATGATTATCCATTGTACTAATCTGTATGGTGCTTCTTGCAGGAGTTTGGCAATTTATAAATCACAGATTTTTCCAGCAAGGACAGCCGGATGCTGTTTCTGCACATGTGCTTTGAAATATAAGCACACTGTCATTTGCTGGCATTGATGACTTGAGTGAAGGCTGAGGTTTTGGCTCAGAGAAACATGATGAATGTTGACGATGGAAAGGGAACAGTGATTGTAAGAAGTCTATTTTATTAAATGAGAAAATAGAAGTGTAAATGCCAACATGCTTCCAAAAAAAGATATATGAAGTTTTTTCAGCTGTCATTATTGGAAAAGAAAAAGAAAAGAAAGAAAAGCCCAACAGGCTATAATGACTAGCCTTACGAAAGCAAATGATATTTTGAGTGAATAGGGACATGATTGACTTGAATTGATGCCTGATTTTCATGTTTTTGTTAATTATTTGTAAGACAAAATTATCAGAAAATGTCTTCCCAATTCCTTAATATGTTTATTCCTACTTTTACTCTCAATATCAAGTTTGGAATGGGTAAAATTCTACACCATCTCCCCACGAAATTGACCTTGTTCGGCCGATAAGTGTAGGAGTTATTTATCTTTGTCAGAACTTGGAAATTTCCAAATAAAATATTTATACAAGCAGAAGAAAGCAGGCCCACAGTTCTCTTAATTTCCTTGTTTTCCCTCTCTTAGTGTATGTCTACCTGACTCTGGAGCTACGGTAAAGTGCAAGCACTGTGCTTTGTGAAAGCAGCTTTCCAAAGAGCAGGGATTCATCTTTAAAATATGTCTCTGGAGGCACAGGAAGAGGCAAGACTGATAGATTCAGAGTTGTTTGCACAAGTCAGATGTTTTTTAACCTTCTGGCAAGATAATAATGCTGAGGGTATAAATAACATTTATGAAGATATAATTCCATTATTTGCTGAAGGGGAAACGGTGGTTTAAAAACCTGAGTCAAAGGAACACCAAGGAAAGTATCCCAGGAGGTAAATCACGGAGTAACCTGTTCACGATTACAGAGAACACTGCCAAGGAAGGTAGATCTTTGAATCTAACCCGACGAATCTGAACAGGTAGAAGAAAGAGGGCACTTGACCCAACAACTTCCAAATAAGATTGGAGGCACACGGGATGTGAACGGAGTCCTCTGTTCTCATCTACCCACTCGGCCGCATCCAGCCGGGCTCAACAGCCTGGGTTTGTTTCTCTGTCACCAGTTGTTTCTGCCATTCTGGGGGAAAAGCACCTGCTCATTTACACTGTTTACCATTGAAGCCTTCATCCCACTGCTCTGAAGTGTCTCTGACCTGGTTGTTCCAGGAACGCCAACCCCCATGGTGGAGAATGCTCACCCCACCCTCTCTGCCAGCCCACGAGGCGCTTTCCTCCTCATTGACCTGCCCTCTGGCATGCCCTCACCCTCCCTGGACTCTTGCAGCCCCTCCTGAGGGAAAGTCCTGTACTCAGTCTTTCCCTCATGTCTCATGATGGACAGCTGTCCTCACCCCATGGACATGGTTCGGTGTCTTCCAGCTGACCTGGAGGTCCCTGGCCCTGCAGAGTGGTACCAGCAGAGTCCCCTCTCTGACAGTCCCTGCACAGCCCCACAGGGTGACCATCGCTTTCTAACTCACTACACTCGTGCCTTGGTTCCTGCCTTTTTCTGGAACCTCTTCCACCCACACCATGCCCAACTGTAAAAATCATTTACTCCTCCAAGGTGCAATGAAAATGACGAGTTGCAACCAAAGCCATCTTCTGCTCAATCCTCCTGGCACCTTTAGCTTCCTGACTGTGTTTGGGGTACCGGCCTCTCCTCTCCTCCCCTCTGCTCCTTTCAAATGGGATGCCAGCCCCTCTGCCTCCTGAGCTCCTTTGGACTAGGATGCAGGCCCCTCTGCCCCCTGAGCTCCTTTGGACTGGGATGCAGGCCCCTCTGCCCATTGAGCTCCTGGGCACAGTGAGGCTGGGCCTGTGCAGGCCTCCTCCTAGCAGCTGGGCCCCGTGTCAGGTTTGAGCACACAGTTCAGCAACCCTGCGAGTGTAAACTCAGTAGGTCAGGGTGGAGCCTGAGATTCTGCCTGTCCAACAGCCTCCCAGGAAATGCTGTCTCTGCAGGACCACTCCCCATAAAGCTTATGAGTTTATTCTTGGGCATTTTGTAATATGGCGACCTCATAGTTTCAAGGTTCTGAAATCTTCAGTGAGTGAAACAGCTGGTCCCACTGGGCTAAGGATCAGATTCTACTTCAAGTGCCAGTCTTGCAACACATTGGCCTTGTCACCTTGCACAGGTTATTTAAATCTCTGTTTTCTCATTTGAAAAATGAGGACTGTATCACCTACATTTTATTTTATTTTACCTTAGCTTTGAGGCTAAGGATGCCTTATTAATTTGACAAAGATGGTTTGGTGAAAATAGCAATGTCTGCTGGGTATTGATGTTGTACCGGAAACCTTACCATTCTCATCAGCCACCTCATTCAGTCACCACAGCAGTTCAGGGGGCTCAGTGGGGTCCTGCCTCACAAAGACATCACCTCCCGGCTGCACAGTTGCCCAGCGTGTTCCTGTGCTGTGTCTGGCTCACCCCCACCCAGAAATCCACATGGTGCATTTTCGGAAAACTTTCCAGCCATTATGCAAAACCACTGGGAGCTTGAAACTGGCTGTGGCGGGAGCACATATACCTCAGCAGTGAGCAAAGGCTGCACATCAGGCCCCCTCCATCCCCAGGACAGCCAGGTCACCTGTACACCACCTCCCGCCCACAGAAACAGTGGGCGGAAGGAGCACGACCTGAGCTCCAGGGTGTGTTCATATGTGAGGGCTACAGCCTCATCGTATAAACATAAGGAAGTGCCTGGGGCCCTGGCTTGGACTCTCTGCAGCACCGCAAGTGTGGAATTGAGTTCCGGGGTGTGGCTGTTCCTCGTGATTGTTGCATTTCATCCTATACTTCTTGGGCTTATTCTAAGACAAACTACAAAGCATCCTCGCTTATTCCAGGTATTCATTCATGCATTGAACAACCATCTCTTTCAAGTCTTGCTTTGAGGGCCAAGTCCCCACAGCCACCTCCTTGAATTCACGGGGCCGTCAGTGACAGAGGAGTGGCCTGCGGTGAAAGGCAGCCTGAGTTCAGATTGCTGTGGCCCAGTGGAAACGGTTCTCTTCAATGCTGATTGACTTCACCTTTGCCCCCTTTCCCATAGGGCCATTAGGTAATGATTGGGAAAACTAAGAACCCAGGATGGCTGCTCATCGGAGGGGCCAGTCATCTCACAGACACTTTGTGACAAATGTCCAGCAGTTTGTGCACTGAGACGGAAAAATGGACCGTGCCGTAAGGAGGTGTGATTTCCACTGGAGGAGATTGATTGAGGACATTTGGTAATATTAGCATTTATGTGTTGATTGAAAGTGTCACTCTGGTGATAGATGGGGCATGCCTGCGCGTAAAGAGTGGGAAAGAAAAAACGTTTTCTCCGGTGATGGGTGACCTCACCGTTCACATTTTGACAAGCACAGGATAGAGCCTCATGGCGTCCTAAAAGTTTTACCTAATTAGGGAAAAATTCAGGGTGTTAAAGCACTCAGCTGTTGAAAACTGTGCCAAGATGTGGGTCATATTTAAAATCATTGTTTCAGCCACCGTTAAATATTAAAAAACTTTATAAAAATCTAAGGCATTAGGACAGATATATTGCAGAGGAAAATGACAGGGCTGTAGGAGTTAGGTGTGGGGGAAGTGGAAGAACGCCGGGCTGGAGCTCAGGGACTGGCTGTTCCGAGGCAGAGCGGCTGCCTGAGTTCCCTGAGCCTCCGCTTTCTCATCTGTAAAGTGGGTACGTTTCCACCTGAAGGGTGTCGCACATTGCGAATGCGATCGGCTGGAGTGACGTGTGAGAAGAGAATACTTTGGGACTTTACAGCAGGTTAAAATCTTATTTTTTCAGGGTTGGTAAATACCTCTGGGTAGACGTTTCACAGGCAACGGGGTCTAAGAGCCGGGCGGAAGATCTCCCTGTGTCACACAAGGTCGGTTTGACTTCAGGCTTCTGTGGCCTCGATTTCTTCATGTGTGAAACAGGGAATGTATCGTCAGCTTGAAGTGTTGTTACAAGACTAAGTAAAATAACATGAGCAGGGCCCTGGCCAAGCCCTACAACACATTTCACACCGTGGTTCTTATTCATCTCTCAACGTTAGTGCCATTTATACCTTCCACTGTGTGACCTGGGAAATCACGTAATCTTTCTGGTTTTCGTATTTGTTTATGTGTGGTAACAAGCACATGACATGAGATTTACTCTCTTAAGTATTTAGGCGAAGAGTTCAGCCGTGTTAACGACATCCACGTTGCTGTGCAGCTGATCCCTGCGCCCCTTTATCTCACATGACCGAAACTGCACCCGTGGAACGGCAACTCCCGTGTCCCCAGCTCCTGCCCCTGGCAGCCCCATGCTACTCCCCCTTCTGAGAGATTGACCCTGTTAGATTCCATATATAAGTGAGATAATGCAGTGTTTGTTCTGCTGTGACTGGCTTATGTCACTTATCACCGTGTCTTCCAGCTTCATCCATGTTGCTGTCAACAATAACAGTGTATCCTTTTTTAAGGCTGAATAACGTACCTGCATACACCATACTTCTTTATCCATTCTTGCTGTTGACTGATGTTTAGGCTGTTTCCCTATCCTTGCTATTGTGCGTAGTGCTGTAATGAACAGGGGAGTGCAGGTCTCTCTTGGAGATACTGATTCCATTTTCCTCGGATGCATTCCTAGAGAAGGGATTGCTAAGTCATCTCGTGGTTGTCTTTTAATTTTTTTGAGAAACCCCCATACTATTCATAGTAGCTGCACCAATTTACCTTTCCACCCACAATGTGCAAGGGTTGCAGCTTCTCCACACCGTTGTCAACACGGTATCTTCTATGTGGATGTGTGTTTTTACAGCAGTTATCCTGATGGATGTGAGGTAGTGTCTCAGTGTGGTTTTGATTTGCATTTCCCTAATGCTTGGTGAAGTGAATGCCTTTTCATGTTTGCTGGCCACTTGAATGTCATCTTTAGAGAAATGTCTATTCAAGTCCCTTGCGTATTTTGAAAATCAGGTTTTTTGTTTTTTACTATTGAGTTGTAGGAGTTATTTATACATTTTGGACATTAACCCCTGATTAGATATGGTTTGTAGGTATTTTCTCCTGTACCATAGGTTGCATTTTCACTCTTCTGATTGTTTCTTCTGTTGTGCAGAAGCTTTTCAGTTGACGTGGTCCCAAATGTCTACTTTTGCTTTTGTTGCCTGTGGTTATGGTGTCATATCCGTGAAAATCAGTGCCAAGATCAATGTGATGAATCTTTTCCACTGTTTTCTTCTAGAAATTTTATAGTTTCAGGTCTTATGTTTAAGTCGTTAATCTATTTTGAGTTGATTTTTCTGTATGGTGTAAGATAAAGGTCCAATTTTATTCATTTGCTTCTGAATATCCAGTTTTCACAGCACTATTTATTGAGAGACTGACCTTTCCCCACTGTATAGCGTTAGCCCTTTGTGGAAGATCACCTGACAATGTAGGTATAAGTATATTTCTGGGCTCTCTATTCTGTTCCATTGGTTTATATGTGTCTTTAGTACCATACCATTGATTACCGTGGCTTTGTAATATGTTTTAGAGTAAGGAAGTGAGATGCCTCCAACTTTGTTCTTTCTCAACATTGCCCTAGCTATTCAGGATTTTTTGTGGTTTCATATAAATTTTAGGATTTTTTCTATGTTTGTAAAAATGCCATTGAGATTTTGATGGATGTTGCATTGAATCTATAGATCACTTTGGATGGTATACACATTTTAACAATATTAAGACTTACAATTCATTAACGTGGTTTTTTTTATTTACTTGTGTCTTTAATTTCTTGCAATAGTGCATTATAGTTTTCAGTGTACAAGTCTTTTTGCCTCCTTGGTTAAGTTTATTCTTAAGTATTTTACTTGTTTTGATGCTATTGTAAGTGGGTTTTTTTTTTACTTAATGTCTATTTTGGATCGTCTGTTGTTAGTGCGTAGAAATGCAACTTTTTTGTGTGTATCAATTTTGTCTTCTGAAATTTTGCTGAATTTTTGTTTATTAGTTCTAATTTTTTAGTGGAATCTTTAGGGTTATCTACATATAAGATTATGTTTCTACAGAGATAGTTTTATGTCTTCATTTTCCAATTTGAATGTCCTTTATTTCTTTTCTTGACCAATTCCTCTGGCTAGGATGTCTAGCACTGTGTTGAACAGAAGGGGCAAAAGTGGGCATAATCTTAGAGAAAAAGATTTCAGCCTCTCACCATAGAGTATGATGTTAGTCATGGACTTTTGACATAGTGCCTTTGTTACGTTCGGGTAATTTTCTTCTATTCCTACTTTTTATTATTTTTATAATGAAAGACTGTTGAGTTTTGTTGAATGCTTTTCATGAGTCTTAAAATCATGTGATTTGTACCCCTATGTCCCAGGGATAAATTCCACATATTTGTAGAATATGATCCTTTTCATGTGCTATTGAATTCAGTTGACTAGTAGTGCCTTTGATTGCTTTATTATAAGGGCAACTGTGGCCTTACATAATGAGTTTGGAAGTGTTCTGTCCTCTTCAGTTTTTGAAAGAATTTGACAAAGATTGATGTTAATTTTTCTTTAATGTTTCGTAGAATTCCCCAGTGGAGCCATCTCTTCCTCATTTTTCTTTTGTTGGAATGTTTTTGATTACTGATTCACTCTCCTTCCTAGTTAGTGGTATGCTTAGATTGTCGGTTTCTTCATGATTGACTGGTAGGTTGTATGTTTCTAGGAATTTATCCAATTTTTTTCTAGGTGGTCTAATTTGTTGGTATATAATTGTTCACAGTAGTCTCATAATTGTTTTTTTCTTCTGTGGCATCATTTATGTCTTCTCTCATTTCTGACTTTGAGTTTTCTCTATTTTTTTCTTAGTTATATTAGTGAGCTTGAACTTCTATTTTAAATAAAATACCATGGTGTAAACAACAGACATTTATTTCTTATACTTTTGGACTCTGTGAAATCAAAGATCAAGGTGCTGGTAGATTCAGTTCCTGAGGATGGATTTCTTTCTCTATTGCAGATGTTCACTTTTTTTCTGTGCCCTCACATGCAGAGACAGTGAGCACTCAGGTCTCCTTTCCTCTACTTACAAAGACTCTAATTCCAATAGCGGAACCCATCCTCATGCCCTCATCTAAGTCTAATTATCTCTCAAAGGTCTTACTCCAAGTATGATTTTATTGTAGTCTAGGACATCAGCATATGAACTTTGGGTGAACAAAACATTCAGTCCGTAACATTAGTCTAGTTAAATATTGTTGATCTTTTCAAAAACCAACTCTTAGTTTTATTGAGTTTTGCTATTGTTTTTATGTTCTCTCTTTCATTTAGTTCTGCCCCAATCTTTATTTTTTTTTTTGTACTAACTTTGACCTTAGTTTGATTTTCTTATCTAGTTTCTTAAGGCATAAAGTTATTTGGTTTATTTGAAATCTTTTTCAACATAGGTGTTTACCACCATAAACTTCCCTCTTGGCACTGTTTTTGCTGCATCCCACAAATTTATTTATGCTATGTTTTTGTTTTGGTTTGTCTCAAGATATTTTCTAGTATCCCTCTTGATTTCTTCTTTGATCCATTGGTTCCCCAAGAGTGTGTTGTTTAATTTCCACATTTTTGTGCTTTTTCCAATTTTCCTTCTGCTATTGATTTCTAGCTTCATGCTTTTGTAGTTGAAAAAGATACTAGGTATGATGTCAGTCTTCTTATATTTGTTAATATGTGGCTTGAAGTCTATGGCCTGTCCTGGAGAATGCTCCTGTACACATTTGAGAAGCTTGTGTTTTCTACTGCTGTTAGATGGAATGTTCTGTTTACCTGTTCAGTCTATAGTGTTGTTCAAACTTGTTTTCTTATTGTTCTTCTATCTGGTTGATCTAAGACTTATTAAAAGGGTGATACTGAACTCTGCTCCTATTGTTGTGTTGTTGTCTACTTCTACCTTCAGTTTTGTCAATGTTTGTTTCATACACAGGTTGAATATGCCTTATCCCAAATGCTTTGGAACAGAAGTATTTCATTTTCAGACTTTTTTTTGGATTTTTGAATATTTGTATATCCATAATGACATATCTTGGAGATGGGACCCAAATCTAAACACAAAATATATTTGTTTCATATATACCAAATACACATTGCCTGAAGATAATTATATATAGTATTTTTAAAATTTTGTATATGAAACATAGTTTGTGTTCACCGAACTATCAGAAATCAAAGGTGTCAGGTGTGAGTTTTCTACTTGAGGTGTCATATCAGTGCTCAAAAAGATTTAGATCTTGAATCATTTCAAGATTTCAGATTTTTTGATTAGGGATGCTCAACCTTTATTTAGGTGTTCTGATGTTGGGTGCATATTTATTTACAGTTGTTCTATCTTCCTGGTGGATTGATTCTGTTTTCATTATAAAATATTTTTCTTTGTCTCTTGTAACAATTTCTATTTTGTCTAAGTACAGCCACCCTGCCCTTTTGTTTGCATGAGATATTTTATTCCATCTCTTCACTTTTGGCCTATGTGTGTCTTGAAATCTAAAGTGAGTCTCTTGTACACAACATATAGTTAGGTCTCAATGTTTTTGTTGTTGTCTATTTCACCACTCTAATTTCTGTGGATAGAGAAGCTGAGACTCAAAAATAATATTATTTATCAGCACATATGATGGCTTTTTACATGCTGGGAAAGATGACTGCTTTTACACAACATCAATATCCTTAAATTGTGAACTTCTATTTAGGTTCTAGTCCACCAATAAACCCACTGTCATTTTTGGTTATGTGCTTCCATAAACTAATCTTTATTTTATTTCTTTGCATGTTTTTTCTCTTTCATTAGAATGCTGCCTTTCTGTAGTAATATTGAGAAACATTTTACTTTGTCCATATCTTCTTTCCATTTAACAATATTACCAAAAACAAGCAAACAAAGAAACTAAAGCTCAATTTATTCAACCAAAAATGGTTATTTATCTTCATTTCTTTACATTTATGGGCACTGAACAAATTCTATCCCATTTTTCCCATAGGAAAAAAAAAGCACATTAAATGATTGAAAGAAGTTATCTGTATTCATTTTCTATCGATGCTTAACAAATTAACACAAATATAGTAGATTAGAGACACACATTTATCCTCTTACAGTTCTCTAAGAACTTGTCTCTTAGGGCTAAAATCAAGGTGTTGGCTGCTTTCTCCTGCAGCCTCTGGGGGACAGTCTGTTTTCTTGGCTTTCTTTGCCCTTGTGCTCTGAGCTCACCTGTGCCAGAAAGCTCCAGCCACCGCAGCTTTGGAAGCATGCCTCCCTCTCTGCCCTCAGAGTGGAGGATCTTGTATGAAGCCTGGATCACCAGCCCAGCCTGTTCAGGAGAGCTCTCTCTGGGGTGTGTTCCTTCCAGCAGCACAGCTTAGAAGGAAAATATAGGGTGGAGGTTCAAAAGGATCAAGATATTTTTATTTCCAGAAGGTTATTGGACTCTTTATGCACTGGCACCTGCCGCAACAAGTGAGGGGAAGCTCCTTGCCTTTTCTATTTCCCTTATATTTGTGTGACTAAAAGAGGCTACTCTAGTGTTTTTAATTTCCTTTTCTTAAAAACACAAACAAACAAAAAAAAAAAGTCTGTCCCTAGGGGATTTTCTTTCCTTCTCACTCAGACAGAAGCAGCAAACATACGGTGTCTGATTTCACCCCCCTACATCCAGCATCATACACAGATGAGCAAACCCTTCACTCAGGAAGGGGATGAGTGATTTTTCTTTCAATATTTGTAGAGATGGAGTCTCTAAGTAAGAGAGCAGTGTCTGCTTGGCCTACCATTGGAGCCTGATTCTGCATAACGATTCCAATCACCTGCGTGTCCCAGTGTTTTTCTGTCTTACTTAAGAGAGTTCTTTTGGAGATCCCACCCACAGGCTCTGACCTTATGGAATATTCAAAGCTGATGCAGTCCCCAGCGCTGTCTCTTCCATTCCACTAGCGTCCATCAACTCAGTCAGCTCAGACACAGCCCTGAGCAGTAAACTGCGTCCTTGGGGCCTTTGGTCCAAGCCTCAGTGCTTTTCCTAGCTTTGCCTTCTGTGCCTCAGCCACTGGATTCAGATTCCATTGTCCCATCTGTGGGGGCCAACGTGAAGCTTTAAATAAATGTGTAAACATCTTTTATTTGTTACAGCCTGTGACATTATGATTGCATCATTCTCCACCAACAATAAGAAAATTTACATTACAATGATTTGTCCCATTGAGTGTGTAGCACGAAATTCTCATGGAATTTAATAAATGGTCATCAAGTTGACCCATTTAAAAAAAAAAAAACTCACAGAATTTTGAAAACCAAAGCATGGCAAATCATTATTGGAGACAGACAGTGCAATTAACACAGTGAGGTGGCTGAGAAGTTCCACAATAGCAAAAGTATCCCGCCTTCTTCAATCTACTTTTCTCCAAATCTATGCAAACAAAGAGTGTTTAAAAAATATAACTTTTTAATATCAAACACATTTTGGGAAATGCTGCTGTGTTGATACCATCACATTTCAGTAAAACTTCCATGAAAGTCACCGACGCTGAGCATTTCAGTAGAACTTCCACGAAGGTCACCGATGCTGAGCATTTCAGTAGAACTTCCATGAAAGTCACCGACGCTGAGCATTTCAGTAGAACTTCCGTGAAGGTCACCGATGCTGAGCATTTCAGTAGAACTTCCATGAAGGTCACCGATGCTGAGCATTTCAGTAGAACTTCCATGAAAGTCATGGATGCTGAGCATTTCAGTAGAACTTCCATGAAAGTCATTGATGCTGAGCATTTCAGTAGAACTTCCATGAGAGTCACTGAGGCTGAGCATTTCAGTAGAACTTCCATGAAAGTCACTGATGCTGAGCATTTCAGTAGAACTTCCATGAAGGTCACCGACGCTGAGCATTTCAGCAGAACTTCCATGAGAGTCACCAATGCTGAGCATTTCAGTAGAACTTCCATGAAGGTCACCGACGCTGAGCATTTCAGCAGAACTTCCATGAGAGTCACCAATGCTGAGCATTTCAGTAGAACTTCCATGAAAGTCACCGACGCTGAGCATTTCAGTAGAACTTCCATGAAAGTCACCGACGCTGAGCATTTCAGCAGAACTTCCATGAGAGTCACCAATGCTGAGCATTTCAGTAGAACTTCCATGAAAGTCACCAACGCTGAGCATTTCAGTAGAACTTCCATGAAGGTCACCGATGCTGAGCATTTCAGTAGAACTTCCATGAAAGTCACGGATGCTGAGCATTTCAGTAGAACTTCCATGAAAGTCATTGATGCTGAGCATTTCAGTAGAACTTCCATGAGAGTCACTGAGGCTGAGCATTTCAGTAGAACTTCCATGAAAGTCACTGATGCTGAGCATTTCAGTAGAACTTCCATGAAGGTCACCGACGCTGAGCATTTCAGCAGAACTTCCATGAGAGTCACCAATGCTGAGCATTTCAGTAGAACTTCCATGAAGGTCACCGACGCTGAGCATTTCAGCAGAACTTCCATGAGAGTCACCAATGCTGAGCATTTCAGTAGAACTTCCATGAAAGTCACCGACGCTGAGCATTTCAGTAGAACTTCCATGAAAGTCACCGACACTGAGCATTTCAGTAGAACTTCCATGAAGGTCACCGATGCTGAGCATTTCAGTAGAACTTCCATGAAGGTCACCGATGCTGAGCATTTCAGTAGAACTTCCATGAGAGTCACCGACCCTGAGCATTTCAGTAGAACTTCCATGAGATACACCGATGCTGAGCATTTCAGTAGAACTTCCACGAAGGTCACCGACGCTGAGTGTTTCAGTAGAACTTCCGTGAAAGTCACCGACGCTAAGCATTTCAATAGAACTTCCATGAAGGTCACCAACACTGAGCATTTCAGTAGAACTTCCGTGAAAGTCACCGACGCTGAGCATTTCAATAGAACTTCTGTGAAGGTCACCAACGCTGAGCATTTCAGTAGAACTTCCACAAAGGTCACTAACGCTGAGCATTTCAGTAGAACTTCCGTGAAGGTCACCGATGCTGAGCATTTCAGTAGAACTTCCACGAAGGTCACCGACGCTGAGCATTTCAGTAGAACTTCCGTGAAAGTCACCGACACTGAGCATTTCAATACAACTTCCATGAAGGTCACCGACACTGAGCATTTCAGTAGAGCTTCCATGAAGGTCACCGATGCTGAGCATTTCAGTAGAACTTCCATGAAAGTCACCAACGCTGAGCATTTCAGTAGAACTTCCGTGAAGGTCACCGACGCTGAGCATTTCAGTAGAACTTCCGTGAAAGTCACCGACGCTGAGCATTTCAATAGAACTTCCATGAAGGTCACTGACGCTGAGCATTTCAATAGAACTTCCGTGAAAGTCACCGATGCTGAACATTTCAGTAGAACTTCGATGGAAGTTGCCAATGCTGAGCATTTCAGTAGAACTTCCATGAAAGTCACCAACGCTGAGCATTTCAGTAGAACTTCCACGAAGGTCACCAATGCTGAGCATTTCAGTAGAACTTCCACGAAAATGACTGACACTGAGCATTTCAGTAGAATTTCCATGGAAGTCACCAACACTGAGCATTTCAGTAGAACTTCCATGAAAGTCACCGATGCTGAGCATTTCCATAGAACTTCCATGAAAGTGACCGACGCTGAGATGGAATGACTCCTGTGAAACCCTCACAAAATGGACCCCCCCCCCCATGAAAGAGGAACCATGAATATTTACCTGATAACAAGAAGTACCACAAAAGACCCTGGCAACACCACAAGCTGCACAAAGACCACTGCAACCTTGTGCAAAGACAAGTCTTCTATGAGGACACAAGCTCCCCTTGCTATTGATCCTTGTAGCCAAGGATAACGGTTTCAAAACAACTTCTGTAACCTCCTCACTTTGCCTTTAAGCTTTCCTGAATCCCAGCCTCTTTGGATATCCCTATAATCTCTTATAGCACATATGTCCCAGCTTGCAATTGCCTACATAGTCCCAAATAAACTTTGGGAGAGCCTCTCTCTGTCATTGTATTAGGCTGACACTCCCTAACCCAACATATTGGACTGTTCATTCCACACTGTTTCCTGCACAGAGAGCCAGCAGGTGCCCCTTCCTCTGCAGGTGGAAACACATCAGCCCATGACCGACATGTGAACACAGGTGAGGAGTGCAGCGAGGGATCCATACAGGGTGTCCCCAGCTTAGAACTCAACACAAGTATTTTGTTCAAACAAAATGTCAAAATGTGATTTCAATCAGCTCTAGTTACAAATTCATAATTCAAGATAGCCTTGCTGGTAATACTTGGTTAGAAAATTAACCAGACCAGAGATATCATGACTCAGCTTTTGGCTGAATTGAAGATGTTCAGTGAAATGCCCACAGGATGCCTGTTTATTCAGTATCTGGATCATGACATAATGGACTGAGTATTGTTTCATAAGCTTTAATTTCATTCCTGGCTTTCAGTACTACTCATTGAGTTTTAGTATGGAATTTAGTGGTGTGACCGATTTCACTGCTAGCTAGTAATTTCTTTTATTTTCTTTTTTGTTTTGAGACAGAGTTTCACTCTTGTTGCCCAGGCTGGAGTGCAATGGCACAATCTTGGCTCACTGCAACTTCCGCCTCCTGGGTTCAAGTGATTCTTGTGCCTCAGCCTCCCAAGTAGCTGTGATTACAGGCACCTGCCACCACGCCCAGTTAATTTTTTGTATTTTTTTTTTTTGGTAGGGACGGCATTTTACCATGTTGGCCAGGCTGGTGTCAAACTCCTGACTTCAGGTGATCCATCTACCTCGGCCTCCCAAAGTGCTGGGATTACAGGCGTGATCCACCATACCCAGCCATTGCTAGTACTTTCAAAGATTATGCAGTGTAACTTCAACTTATGGTACCAAAAACTATTGATGTTGTTTTGAATATGTGCATTATTACTGGTAGCTGTTTGGCTTCTTATTTCTGTGCATTGTGCTATTATTGGATACATCTTGGGAACTTGTAAAGCAATTTTCAGTTTCTATGTATAAAACCAAAACCCTGGCCGGGCGCGGTGGCTCACGCCTGAAATCCCAGCACTTTGGGAGTCCGGTGCTGGCGGATCACAAGGTCAGGAAATCGAGACCATCCTGGCTAACACATGAAACCCCGTCTCCACTAAAAATACAAAAAAAAAATTAGCCAGGCATGGTGGTGGGCGCCTGTAGTCCCAGCTACTTGGGAGGCCGAGATGGGCGGATCACGAGGTCAGGAGGTCGAGACCATCCTGGCTAACATGGTGAAACACCATCTCTACTAAAAATACCAAAAAAAAAAAAAAAAATTAGCTGGGTGTGGTCACAGGCACCTATAGTCCCAGCTACTCAGGAGGCTGAGGCAGGAGAATGGCGTGAACCCAGGAGGCGGAGCTTGCAGTGAGCAGAGGTTGTGCCACTGCACTCCAGCCTGGGCGACAGAGTGAGATTCCGTCTCAAAAAAAATAAAATTAACCCAAAACCCTGAAGCATGAATGATATGGTCATTATGGCTCTTTTTCTCCAAAAGTCCCTTTAAAGCTCAGTAATTGCTATTTGGAAACACATACATACATTGAATTACAATATGTGCTAAGTTTGCAAGAACCTTGTGTTTCTTCTAGAAAGCTACTTGGTTTTTTTTTTCCTCTAACAGGGATAAGTCAAAATGAATAAAAGATTTTGAGTACAGTCTCACGCTTTGGGTATGATTGGCGAATCCAGCTTGAATTAAAGTTTAACACAAGGGCTGGGCAGGCCCTGGGTTCCACTCATGACCAGAGTGAGGGATGCTGGTTACCAAGTGTAATGACGCTTTATGAAACTACCTAAAGACTATGAAGCTTTGGCAGGAGAATACACCTCAACATCTTGAACATTTTGCTCATCACAATTTGAAATGATCAAAATAATTAGTGTTGTAGCTGTCAATGTTAAGAGTCATTCACATGCAAAGGAAGGAACTTAATTCAACTTGGAATAAAGGAAAGGTGAAGCCTTTGGTTGCAGTCACTAGGAGGTTGGGGGCAGCTCCCAGCATGTTGGTACCCAATGTCCCCCAGTGTTCTTTGTGTGTCCCCGCGTGGGGTGTTCCTCTGTGTTGAATTCCTCTCCCGGCAGGCTGGCTCGCTGGCTCTCCACTTGGCATTAGTGGTATTAGAACACGCTTCAGGTATTCACTTCTCACAGCTGGTCACACCAATGTAGGCATCTTGGCCTCCCTCTCCCTGTCATCTGTACCAAGCTGCCACTGGGCTCTGGCTGGTCCACCTGGGTCCTGTACCTATTGCAAGAGAGAAGCAGTTTCTAAAAGAAAGGCATGCAGAGAGGACCAGGGAGAGGCCGAGGGGACTTCATGCTGTCAGGGAAGTTTGAAATCATTTTTGAGATGTCACGTCTTTGAGTTATAAAGAAAAGCAGCTCCGAAAAGCTGAGATGGATGTTATTGGGGAGGGAGGGCTTTACCCGGTGATGTGTGACCTCCAATCCTGCCTGGGGCCCCATTCCCCACCCCCTGATTCTGCCATGGAATGAAAATGACCAAGATCCTGCCTTTCGAGAGCTTAAAGGAGCATGTCTGTGGAACTGACAGGCCTTAGTTGCTCTTCTTCTTGAAAATGATTTATCTTTCTTTCTGGTGTCATCTCAGCAGTTTAGAATATGCTAGAATTTTGGTGAGATTTAGCAAATAGGATGTCAATCAATTAGCAGTCACCTCAAAAGAAATTTTATTTTCTTCATTTTATTGAATTTTGTTATGCAAACAAAGAAGAAAGACAACATTAGAAGAATGCACTTAGACCTTCTTTTCTACCGATAGAATGGGGGTGGCAGGACGGCAAGATTCGTATTTTACCATCAAAAACAGGAAGATGATTTTTCCCCAGTAACTGAATAACTTCTAAAAACAGTTTCTTTAACTTCTGTGTCAGCTTTGGGGTTCACTGTGGACTTTTCTGTTGATTTGACACAGGGACTTTATGTGGGGCAGTTTGTGGAGAGAAGATGAACCTTTTGTGGGTCATTTTTGCTTTTACAGGACATTTAGTGTCTGTAACATGCGGAGGTAAGGATCCAGGAGTTTGTTTCAGTTTTTTTATTGGGAGGGGGTAGGGGTATAACCGTCTCTCTAGGAAACTCTCCCTGGGGCACCCTTTCCTGCTCTCCCGTAGCCATGGGGACAGGGTGGGTGAACAAGGCCCCTCCTCGCTTCCCGCCGTGCTGTGCACACTGCCTATTCTGCGCCACACAGCAGGCGCTGTTCCTCCCAAGCGTGGCCTTGGCATGAAGCCCACACGCACCCACACAGCAGGCGCTGTTCCTCCCAAGCGTGGCCTTGGCATGAAGCCCACATGCACCCACACAGCAGGCACTGTTCCTCCCAAGGGCGGCCTTGGCATGAAGCCCACACGCACCCATACAAAAGGCACGGCGGCCTGAGACACAATGGCTAGTTCTGCCAACTCACACAGCACAGGGGTCTGCTGCGACGGGATCCACATCACAAAATCACCACAGGTGCTGGGCAGGTGGGGAAGACTGAGTCCTGGCCCAGATTACGGGGTCTGACTTAATCAAGACCCATCACTGAAGATGCAAAATAAAGGAAGTGAGCATTAGCCCCCGTTAGGTGCAAGAAAACAAGTAAGTTACATTCTCAGCGTTGTAATAAAAAATACCCAGTATATTCATGTTTATAACCAATTTGGATCATGATTTGGATCATGTTACTCTGCCTTTTACTTTAAACCATACATATTTCCTGTCTATTATTATTTTTTTGGAGGGACTTTCTTGGAGTTCACAAGGTCCAAACTTTGTTAAATATTTTTGTAACGTGTTCTTCCAACAATTATAATAAACACTTGATCTGATTTTCTCCTCCAGGAACTCGAGTTCCAGGACCTGAGGGCTGTCCTGCACTGCATCCACTCCTTCATAGCAGCCAAGGTGGCCTCCGTGGACCCCGGCTTCATGGACAGTCAGAGTCTTGCCAGAAAATACATGTACAGCAGCTAAAGGTTGTTTCTGTTGAGTGCTGAAAAATTAAATTATTTTCGTAAGAAATGATTCTTTCCTGCAGAATATTGCAACTTTGTGTTGTTTTATGATGAGCCTATAGTTGTGATACCAATAAAACATGTCACTAGTTTCCAAAGACGGGTCCTCCTTGTTAAATCTGACATGGGGGATGCCTGGTCCCCTCTTCCCATGAGTCTCCCCCCAACGAGGAGCCCCAGCGTCCCCCACACAAGTCTGTGGCTCAGACTCCAGTCCACCTGATGCAGTTCACGCCCCAGCCCGCATCCCAGCAGCATGAGAACCATGTGGGCATTGCACATGCCACTTCCCACGTTGGCAAAACCCAGATTTATTTTCATAAAATATGTCATCGAAAATTCTGAGCGAGTGCCACGTTTCTCCTCAGGAAGGAAAGGGTCTCCTTTGCAGTGGGCTGTCATTTCCTTTTTCCTCCAGTGGGGATCAGAGTGACAGGAGTATTTGAGAAACAGGGATTGGTCAAAATATGTAGGGCAAGGAAATCAACTTTACTTAATATTATAATCTTATTACATATCAATCTTCATGCTTATAAATTTATCATACTTTGAATAACATATATAAATATGAATTTTAATTATTTTCCTAATTCATCAAATATTAGCATGCAGTTTAGTTTCCTTGTTTCTCATATTGTTTATGACTTCTGAGTAGGGATACTTTACATTTTTGTTATTAATGGCAATTGACTGGAGTTGCTTGAATTTTTTTTTTAGAGATACAGACTCTAGGTAGAAAAATAAGGATTAGGCACTTTCTTGACAAACCTTCAAATAAAGGATGAACATAAAACCATCAATCTATAAGTATAGGAAAGTAAGAAACAGATGCCTTCTCCTGCAGTTCTATTGAAAAGAAAATGTGGGCCAGGCCTGGTGGCTCATGCATGTAATCCTAGCACTTTGGGAAGTTGAAGCGGGTGGATCACTTGAGGTTAGGGGTTCAAGAGCAGCCTGGCCAACATGGCAAAACCCTGTCTGTACTAAGAATACAAAAATTAACTGGGCATGGTGGTGGACACCTGTAATCCCAGCTACTCAGGAGGCTGAAGCAGAAGAATTGCTTGTACCTGGAGGGTGGAGATTGCACTGAGCCGAGATTGCACCACTGTACTCCAGCCTGGGCAACAGAGCAAGACTCTGTCTCAAAAAAAAAAAAAAAAAAAAAAGTGCAGATGCTAAAGGTTCCATGTTCCATTTCATGAGGTGATGAAGATCTCAGCAAAAATCCATAGCTCCCCACATTGCACCCGCCCCTTGTCTATCTGACATTAGGAGGAGGGAAATATTTTAATATACCAAATATTTACAACCAATAGTTTTATGTGTTTGAAAGTATATCCTTTTTAGAAGAGGTACATCTCTATATAATAAATATTGCATGTGCTATGACGTTTTGATGGCTTCTGTGGAAGACTCCAGTAGGGAGCAGAGTATTTCAAGTGAATTTAAAATAATATTCTGCCCCATGAATGTTGTTCTTGGGGCGTCAGACAGTATTTTTCTGTCTCGGTGTTCATTCTCTGGCTTTAATTCAAACTTCCTATTAATACTAATAGCAATAGGAGTTAGAATTGTACAAAATATATAAAACCCAAAAAAGGTAAAGGTAGAAATTTTCCTTTCACCAGTTCGCCTTCCAGTGTGGATATTTTGATCTGCAAAATGAACAGACACTCATTTTCTTCCCTTTTGCCAAAAAGCCTAAACCCGCCCAAAAATAGAACGTGTTCTTCTGCACCAAGGAGGGAAGAAACTGGGAAGATTTTTGTTTTTGTAAAAAAATAATTTTAGAAAATAAACCTTTACTATATAATAATGAAAAAAATAAGATTTTCCCAGGAAGATTTGATACTAAAGTTTATTTTTATATTTGTATGGATATACAATTCTTTCCAAAAAATGCACTATTTTTTAAAATTTAAAAACAGTAAAATTATTTTTTTGTAAAAATGAGACAAATGACCCCATTCCCACAGGCCTTCCCCTTCACATCAGCTGGATCCCTGTGGGTGGCCACGTACAAGGCTGTAAAGAAGCCCAGGCTGGGCAGTGAGGCCACAAGCTGGGCACCAGCCTCCCTGTTCCTGGCAGTGCATCAGGGAGATGGCCCGTCATGATGGCACCTGGCCCATGGGGGAGACAGTCCTTCATGACTGATGGCACCTGGCCCATCGGGGAGACAGTCCTTCATGATTGATTACACCCAGCCCATGGGGGAGGCAGCCCTTCCTGATTGCACCCCTTTAAAACCGAGACTCCTCAAGTGGCCTCAGTATCTCCTTTGACCAGGCCCTTGCTAGGGGGGCCCAGGTCAGAAATTGTTTTATTTTTATTTGAGACACGCAGTTGATTCTAAGATCTCCTTAGCTTTGGGTTTTAATCAAAAGGTAATGGGGTCACCTGCAGATCTCCATCGCTAACATCTATGAAGTCACCAGCTCACCACCTCTCCTGGGGTGCAGGCTCCGGCCCTTCGGCTCCCATTTCCAGGTACAGAAGCAGAGGGTCAAGGGGCCCAACAAGGTGTCTACAGCCCTGGAGCTGGCCAGGAGCCCAGGCCTTCTGCCGCCCGCCCGGGAGTCCTCACACCTGGGCCTCCTCACACCAGGAGTCCTCACACACAGGGCCCGACTCCCTCACTAAGCAGGGGACCCTCAGAACCCACAGCAGCCACGCCGACCTGGGGAGTCTTCCTGGGGGGGCGGATTTATGTCTTTGCCCCTCCTTAGAAAACAGTAGCCATTATCTTACAAGCATGGATCCATTTTCCTTCTGCTCCATGTCTGTGCATTCCATATCCCATTTGAACACTAAAAACAGAAAACATTGTTGAAACTGATTTGATTTCCAATATGTGGGCATTTGACAGGATAGTATTCTGAATAGATAATTCTCATTAGTGATGTTGCTGTATGAATATTCATCCAGAAGTTTTCTTTACATCTTTTAGAAGGAGGACTGGAAAATGCTCAGAATCCCAAAAGGCAAGGAAATGAAATTACAAACATCAGGTCTTTTTTTTTCAATGGAGAACCACGCACCAAGTATGTCTTTAACTCGGGTGTGTGTCTTGAATACAGGCTCTGCTCATACAAAGCATGTGGGGTTTTCACAACGCTGAGCCAGGAAAAATGACTAAACTCTGGCAGGAGGAAAAGCAACGAAACCTCTAGAGAAGATCAGGGGAGACACAATTGCAGCTCAAAGTTAGAGTCTCCAGCCACAGGGTACAAACAGATCTTTCAAGAGCAGAACTGGATTTGCAAAGCCCAGAGATTATTCTGCAGAAGGATAGCCTCTGTGGAAAAGAGATAGAAATTAACCTAGCAGTGGTTTGTGACAGAAGACAGTTTACACAATGAGGTCCAGTTTTATTGAGAATGAGACTTACAGCAAGTAGTTCTGAACATTAGGAACCATATTTTTAAATGACTCGTGAACTTTATTTTTCTCATTTTATGGTCTGAATTTTAGTGAACTTCAAGAACATTTTAGTTTTCAAAGGAAAAAAGCTCTAACTAAATAAATTTGATTACAGAAAAATAAAACATTCTCAGCATATAAACAAGTTTCTCCAAATCTTACTTTCAGTATTAAGTTGAACTCGGTGTGTTTGAATATGAGACAGCGATCAGCAAATGCCTTGTAACAATCGTCCAATCACTGATACCGCCCATGACCCGTTGTTTGCGTTCTCAGCCTATTTTCATGTGTTTCTTGACTGTTTTCTTCCTCCAGGACTCCCTGCGTATCACAGCAGTGCCAGAGGAATCACGGCAGTTAGCCGGAAAGCTAGTTTACCCCTCCGGGCCCATAGTTCTTGGGAACTGATGTTCAGCTCTTCTGATTTGCTGACAGCTTCTCATAAATGTATAACCACGAATCCTGCCCTGCCCTTGCTGGTGGAGGGACCATTTGATTATTGTCCATTCAGACAGATAAAACTTAGGACAGGATTTTTCAAAACAGATATAAGATGGAGAACATTTCCATGTTGTTCTGGTTTGCTGCTTTCAGTGTTTGGGACAAGAGATAGACAGGTGGAGGGTACATAACCCCTCCCCCGATGCCCACAATCCCCACAGGTTTCCGACCTGACTTTTAAATACAGTTGTCAGCACACTGGCTGTCAAAACCAGAGGAGCCAAGGCTTGGAAGACTGTTGGCTTAGGAGTTGGGAGAACTCTGTGTCCTTTCTGAGGTGACCACAAGCAAGTTTAAACCCGTGTGAAGAATTTACCATGTTTAACTCTTTTGCTCATATATGGAATAGAAAAAGTCACAATCCCTGTTCTTCACCCCCTCACAACCTCATTATGGGCATCAGGTGAGAAATCTGGGAGGAAGTTCTCAGCAAACCAGGAAAAGTGGGTTTTGAGATTTGAGCCGGTGCCTGCCATCTCTAAGGGTGTCCTTATCCATGCAACCAGGTGCCTCCTGAAGTTATGAATGGAATCTGTGCACACACGCTAGAAAAGCAGCAGGAAGCATTCACAGGCAGCACCATTTCCCTAAGGAAAAGCACTTTCTATCTGTGAAAAAGGCCCCGATAGACGCGGGCTTAGAAACATAAGTTCCTCATTTCAGTGAAGCGCTTGCAAGCACTCCCTATCAGCAAGCTGGAGAAGTACACACAGAAAATGCAGGTTACGGTGGAAAATGAAGACATGCCTGGCACATCGTCAGGAGCATGGCTAAGTCAGAGACCCAGAGGCGGCATATGCTGAAGTACAAAATTAACACTTTGTAAAGCCCTTAACAGGTTAAAACCCTGGGATAAACTAACACAATCGATGTTTTAGAGAAGAAAGTACTATCATTGAATTTTAAAAAAGAAAAGATTCAAGGGGAGCCCGGTCTCCCAAACAGTAGCTGTTGGGAGAAGCATGTGGAACATTTAGGTGAAAGTGTTTTTGATCCATTCAACAAGTATTTGTAGAGCATTAACCCGGGGACCAGGCACTGTGACAGGTGCTGCAGCCACGGCCTTGGGTGGATGGGCAGCTTGGATGGATGGGCAGCTTGGGTGGATGGGCAGCTTGGGTGGATGGGCAGCTTGGGTGGATGGGCACCTTGGATGGATGGGCAGCTCACAGGCTGGGATAAGCCATGGCACATAGCTGCTGAAAACGCCGATGTCATTCTGGTGCTCACCGTGAAGGAAGATGGGCAGACAATGGCTTGCCCCTCGCCATGCACCCAGAACCGGTCAGTTCACACAGGAAACGTGGACTTTTGTTCTGGGAGCCATGTTTCAAGAAGGACACTGACACACTGGTTCCCAACAGGTGGTCAGTTTTGTATCAGGTGCTTCCTTTAAAACACAACTCCACAGCACATGTCAGGAACTAGGGTTTTCATAGAGCAGGTAGGAAGCTATCCTGCTGTACACCCCTCTGGACAATCTGTACAAAGTGCACAGTAATTTTGCCACCTTAGCAGAATTTCCATAAACTGGATTATATTATAATGGGTTTTTTGTGTTTTTAATCTTAAAACTCAGAGTCAATACTCTTTCTCACTATTAATAGAGTGTACATATGGGAGTTTGGGTATAAACACGGGATAGAATAAATATAACTGACCTTATACATGTATCCTACACACTATCTCTACTATGTCATTTTTTTCTCTGTGAAACTGTGTGAGTCTGGGTGGGACGTAGCATAAGACGGACTACATGACTCTTCGAAATTCAGGTTACCCCAAATCTTTTCCAACAGGACAATCTTTTTAAAAGCACAGATAGATGAATACCTACTTTGTGCAGGGTATATAATAATGAAATGTCACAGAAAACTCAAACACAGGAAAGTGTGGGTGGCAGTTTTACCATTGTGGGAATGATCCCCCATCCAGGGCACAGCCTCAGCATCTTTTCCTATGCCTTTAACTTCAAAGGTCCATGGACAGTCCAAGCTCCAGGCCCAGAGGTATTACAATACGCAAACTAAAATACAGTTGTTTGTGGTGAAGAAAAAGTTGAAACAGTTTTAAGATGAATATATGTAGCTTCAAAATACTTAAGCCAACTGTAGATGATATTGTAAAAGATAAGCTGCTACCTGAAACCTATCTTGATGGGCCATTTCAGTTTCAGAACTAACATGCTGAGTGTTGTAAACAGCAGTTCTTGCCCCATGGCAGATCTAAAAGTGCTGTGTCCGTTGGGAAGAAGAACGGTATTTAAAAGCCGTCTGAAATAAGCCTCATGGGAAAACAAGTCCACTGCCGCCCCTCCCACAGTCTCTCCGCTCTCCCTGCATCAGCCAGTGGTTCACACTGAGGACACACAGGTGAATCACGTTGAGAATTCCCAGCAGAACCGTAGTTTTCTCCCCAGCTGGCATCTCAGATCAGCCCCGTGGCTGATTCCATGGTGGGCGGGGAAAAGGGACCTACTTCACAATGACTTCCATCTGGGCCATGAGAGGAAGACTTGCCCCCGGCCAACAAGTATCCGAGAGCTGGAAAGGCCGCGTGAGCAAACAGACAAAACCTGCACTCGCCTCCCTTAAATTGAGGGGAAATCCTGGAGAAACGCCTTGCACACTCAGAAACAAACAAGAGAGATGGTCACGGCGGCCAAGTCTGCAGTTCACCTCTGTGGCCACTTCCCTCTGGATGAAGCCCTCAGCCATGGTCTCCTCTTCACGAGGTTATAAGGAAAGATAATTCAGATGGAAATCTTTTTTACCCAGCCTGCTGGAAATGCAATGATTGTTGCTACAAGGATTGAAGGCAATGGGCTGGAAACACGCACCCAGCTCAGACCCTGCCTTCAGTCGGTGCCGGAATCCTTCCTTGACCCCAGCCTCACCGTGAGACACCGGGCCCTTCACTCAGAAAGGGCTCCGTCAGTCAGCACCTTGGCGGCCCACTACCCACCGTCCACCTGGTAGGATCTCTGTGTTTTCCTTTTCCTTTTTACTGAACGGGCTGAATTTTTGAGCAAGTTAATCTTTTGTTGTCATACACACAGGGATAATGAGTTTCCCAGCTGTGTTACAAACTTAATAAGTCATAGAAACCGTGGTCACTGTGTTTAATTTCTTCTTTCCAGGACAAGCATGTGTTTGCCCCTTTCGGGTTCTAAGTTTTAACTGACAAAATTTGAAACCATTTCTGCAAAAATGTTAATGAGGATTTATTTGAAAAGAACATCACACCAGAAAACATGAGCCCTGTAATTTATAGAGAAATCTTTTCTTTCTTTCTTTCTTTTTTTTTTTTTTTTTACTGAGATGACGTCTTGCTCTGTCACCCAGGCTGGAGTGCAATGGCTCGATCTCGGCCCACTGTACCCTCCGCCTCCTGGTTCAGGCGATTCTCCTGCCTCAACCTCCCAAGTAGCTGGGACTACAGGCACCCGCCACCACGCCCAGCTAAATTTTTTTTGTATTTTTAGTAGAGACGGGGTTTCACTGTGTTAGCCAGGATGGTCTCGATCTCCTGAACTCGTCATCTACCCACCTTGGCCTCCCAAAGTGTTGGGATTACAGGCATGAACCACTGCACCCGACCATAGATATACCTTTTCAACAGATATTTAAGAATAGAAAAACTGAAAATGTTGATTAAAGAGTTTTTAATTTTTTTTTAAGTTTTTAAAATTTAAAAAGGGAAAAAAAGCATGAAGAAAATTGCATTAAATTACTTTGACCACGCATTGCTTAGGGCTGAAAAATCATATTGGTTAGGCAGACGATAGGAGAGATGGGCTCGACTCAGACCTACACTGGCATAGGAAACTGGTGAACTGGGAAACTCACCTTGGTCGTGAAAGGGAGGATTTATTTTGGTTTACAGTATTGTAAGCCAAAAAGTGACCGAAGCAGATCTCAGTCAATTAGAAGTTTATGTTGCTAAGATTGAGAATGTGCCCGGAAAAAACAAACACAAGTCCCAGTGGGACCTGTGACCCGAGCCTTTTCCAAAGAGGGTTTTGGGAACTTTAAAGGGGAAAGAGCGAGCAGGAGGGGAGAAGGAAAAAGAGGGAGGGCAGGCAGTGGGGCACAGTCAGGCATGTGGCCGCAATCTCGTGGGCCTCTGATTAGCGCTAGTGAATCCACGTTTTACACACGATAAGGTAAGCCCTGGAAATCACAGCTGCCTGTTTGGGAATAAAAGGGAGGCAGTTTTGTGTGACGCGGGTCCCAAGCTTAACCTTCCCTGTGGCATCGTGAGTTTGGGGTCTTGAGAGTGTGTTTCCTTCACCGTGTCTACATCGTCCTTATGAAACATGTCCTGAGCACCCTCATTTCCAACCCTGCAGGCATTGCTCAGGCCTCTGATTCTAAACTCTAGTTCTGGTTTTTGGGGAAGCCACCTCCTCACTGCGAATCTCTGATTCCTTTGTTTGAGACACCAGAGGTGGGAAGACAGGAGGATTTTTCTAGTCACGCACAACGAACGTTTCTCTAATGCTATGCATGAGGGAATGACAGTGCTTCATCCAGCACAACGGGTTCCTCTTCAGGGTGCCACGCCCCACACCTGCAGCCCAGCTGCTGCAGGCTGCGTTTGCTGGACATGGGACACCCAGCACGTGCATCGTGGTAATTCCTGTAAATAAAGATGAGCGCGGCACCATCTGTTCCTCCGAGGAGTTAGCAATCTCAGTATTTTCTTCGTAAATCCAAATTATCCATTGTAGAGCTAATGGGTATAAAACCCGCCATCACTGCACTGCCTGCCCCAGGAACCAGGGCCATGCAAATGTCTCGCTCTGAAACTGAGACTCAGAGTGTCTCCTCTGTCTTTATTCCTTTCCAGTGAAAGCTCCCACATGCGTTGATGTGAACTGGATTGACCAGACATTTTGCTCTTTTAAACAATGGTTTAGGGAGGTTCCTAAAAGTTTCTTTGATTTGTTAAATACGTTATGAAGAAACTATTTTGTAGTATTCATAGAGATTCAATTTCCACTTAGCCATTGATCCAAAGTGACATTTTTGCTTGTTATGATGAGCCTTCTGAAGTGAGGCGTGGTCTCAACATCACCCGTGGTGATTACACGGGGCATTCGCGGGAGCACCAGCGTGGGGCTGAGGCTGTTCCTGATGGTGCCCAGGGCAGTGCTGATAGTGGAGGAGAGAGCCTGGTCTGAACAGCACCCCCAGTCCAGTCCACACGGATGAGGCAGGGCAGGAGATTCACCCTCCACCTCCCAGACCCATGACCGAGCACCCTTCACACCACCCCTTTCTCCTGTGAAAGAAAAGTAAAGACACTTAACAAAAAGTGATATTCTCAAACAAAAAGTAATATTCTTTAACAAAAAGTAAAACAACAGAATGATGTTGTTTTAAAAGCTAAACAAATGTAAATAATTCTGGTAGTGAAAGGAAGACCAAATTCATATATCTAAAAAAAGTAAAATTCCCAAGGGCACTGGCAGGATAACAATGATATTAAAAACCAGTGAAGACAGCTTTTGGTCAGGGCTTTACTTAAAAATTACTTTATATTTGGCAAAGACAAAATAGATAATATGGAATTTGGCTAGGGAAAAGGATGTATATTTTATTGGCTCCCACTGGTGAATTTACACCAGAGTCAGAGCTCGGCCACTTAAATAATATTTAATTTTTGTGATAAAAATGTTTTCTCCCTTAATAAACTGTTCCTTTAAAACTGGAATTCAAAGTAAATGCAAAGCAGAAAGAAGCTCCACAGTGTGTCCTTCGGGTAAACCAGTCTTCCTGCTGCCTTTAGATCAGCACCTCTGGTTATTTTTCAGCTTGACTTACACAGAAGAAAGTCGTATGCATTGGAATACGGTCTTTCTCTCACGGATTATTCTGGTAGATTTCAAAAGCCCTACAAGGATAATACAGGGAGCCATGGCCCTTTTGTGATTGCTGTCACAGTTTTATGAAAGGCATTTTCAAAAGTTAGCCTCGAGGAGATTCTGGAGATTTCTGTGCTCTCAGGAAACCCTTACCTCGCCGTGGCTCAGAAGCAGAAGTGAGGAGCCAGGCTTCTCTGTTTATGGAGAGGAATTTTCTGCACCTTCACAAGAGCTCAAAATGAACCCAGACAGAGTCTTTGAAGGACAAGGGCAGGACCCAGGGACCAGGCTGTGAGTCTGCCCTGCCTGGCTGCTTTCGGATCCTGTGTCCTCAGAACCCACCAAATTCATGTCGGTCTTGTCCTCACAGGTTCTCCTGGCCCTGGGTGAGTCACGCTGGGAGAGTTAGCACAGGTGGGGAAATGCAGGCCAGCGGCTGGCAGGGTGAGCTGCAGCCGCCCCTCTGTACCTGGTGCTATGTCTGCTAGTGGATCTTCACCCAGGATGTGCTTCCTCATTCTCGACTTCACCCCCAGCTCCAGACTCAGAGTATGAAGAGCTTGAGTGGTTGCCTGACATGGTTTCACTGTGTCCCCACCCAAATCTCATCTTGAATTGTAGCTCCCATAATTTCCACTTGTGGTGGGAGGGACCTGGTGGGAGATAATTGAATCATGGGGTGGTTTCCCCGATACTGTTCTCATAGCAGTTAATAAGTCTCACAAGATCTGATGGTTTTATCAGGGAAACCCCGTTTGCTTGGTTCTCATTGTCGCTTGTCTGTGGCCATTTAAGACACGGCTTTCACCTTCCTCAGTGATTGTGAGGTCTCCCCTGCCATGTGGAACTGTGAGTTCGTTAAACCTCTTTTTCTTTTTAAATTACCCAGTCTCAGGTATGTCTTTATCAGCATGAAAATGGACTAATACACTGCCTGTTTATATTTTTAATTGGCAAGTGCCCTTACGTTGCTGGAGAGCGGGGCCAGCTAACTACAGCCCATGGGCCAACCCTGGTTCCCTCTCCAGTTTCTGCAAGCCCAGCCTCACGGGAGTGCAGGGCCTTCTCTGGCCACAGTCAGGAGCTGCTTTTTCCCAGGGCTGTGGTGCTGAGCAGAGGTGATGGAGCCCCATGGCCTGAAACATTCACTGCCCCTTCAAATGTGCCTGTTACCGATGGCTCAGAGCACACAGCCCATGCTTAGCGGCTGATGGCACAGGATCATTTGCCACCTGTCCTGGGGGCTGTGAGTCAGGTGTCTGAGAAAGCGTCAAATGTGGGATCTCTCCAGGGTTGCCCAGGCTCGGCCAGGGCTGGAGCACCTGCCTCCAGGGCGACTGTGACTCCGTGCTGCTCTCCCTGGGAGGCCCTGTTCCTGTCCATGTGGCCCGTGCTGGTGTGACAGTGGGAGAAGAGAGATCTGTGGGAATGCCGTGCACCCGGCAGATGCTGTGTGCACCTGGCGGGGGGTTCGTGCCTGAGCTGCTGTAGGGTGAAGCTGCAGTTTCAGAAGGTCCGAGAGATGTTAAACCCATTTGGCAGAGGGCTCTGATTGGATTCTGCCTCCCCCTGTTCTGGGGAAACTAGGCGGAAGTTGTTCTGCTCCTCTCAAAGGCGGCTCACTGAACCCTGGCGAGGTGCACACCATTGAGTGGATCAGTTCCAGCACTTGGCATTGACTTTGGAAATCTGAAATGTCTGTGATAAGCCAAATAAACTTAGATTTGTTTTATTTCATTTAAAGAGTGAAGGCCCCAGAACTCTGGGAGGCTGAGGCAGGTGGATCACCTAAGGTCAGGAGCTCAAGATCAGCCTGGCCAACATGTCGAAACCCAGTCTCTACTCAAAATATAAAAATTAGCCAGGTGTGGTGGCGCACGCATGTAGTCCCAGCTACTCAGGAAACTGAGGCAGGAGAATCGCTTGAACCCAGGAGGCGGAGGTTGCAGTGAGCCGAGGTCGCGCCACTGCACTCCAGTCTGGGTGACAGGGTGAGAATCTGTCTCAAAAAAATGAGTGAAGGCAAGGAGATTGAACATAAGAGTGAGTGAGCTCTGATCTTGGTAGGAATGAGCCCTCTTGCCATATGTGACATTCAGCCCAGGGCTTGTCCAGGGCTGGAGCAATCCCTAAACAGGCGGTAGATCAAGCCAGGCTGATCACGAGGCACCTTGGAATTCAGAAGGGAGCCGTGGAATGCAGAGGGGTTCACCATAAGCCCCTCGGCTCTGGGGCCCTCCAGACACCTCTCAGCTCCTGTGGGTGATGTCTCCTTACGCAGATGTGCTTCAATAATCTCGGGCCTTCTTGTAAACCAGGGCGTCGGTATAGCTCACAGCCTTCCATCTTCCCTGGCACTTTCCCTGTGTGGGGACTAAACACAAGGGTTTTCCAGGCTCCCTCCTCCTGGCAGGACACGGCTGTTCACACATGTCATAATATTATTTAATATCATAATGTTTCTGTCAGTATTTTTTCATTTAGTAAAGAATCTTTGGACTTTCTTAACTCAACCTAAAGAAATAACTTTAAAAATGAAAATACCAGGCATAACAAAATCTTTGAGAAATTTAGGGGCAGGCATGTGTCCTGTAGACATCACATTTTCCAAGATCCAAGTACTGAGAGTCGAGAGTTTTAAGAGCAGTATAGTTCACAGTTTGGTGATAAATGGCATTAAATGTCTCATTACTACACTGACTCTGAAAATATGTCAAATGTGACTTTAAAAAAGATTACGTAGAAAATCTATTTGTTCCTTATTTTATTTGATAACCCTGAAACACAATTTTTCCCATGAAAATCTAATTTATTGGCCAGGTGCGGTGGCTCACGCCTGTAATCCCAGCACTTTGGGAGGCCGAGGTGGGCGGATCATGAGGTCAGGAGATCAAGACCATCCTGGCTAATACGGTGAAACCCCGTCTCTACTAAAAATACAAAAAATTAGCAGGGCGTGGTGGCGGGCGCCTGTAGTCCCAGCTACTCGGGAGGCTGAGGCAGGAGAATGGCATGAACCCGGGAGGCAGAGCTTGGAGTGAGCCGAGATCACTTTACTGCACTCCAGCCTGGGCGACAGAGCGAGACTCTGTCTCAAAAAAAAAAAAAAAAAAAGTCTATTTTATAATTTCCTTAAGATAGCCATATAATGTTAGAGTAAAACAAATGGTCATGTTCATCATTATATTCTAAAAAAAAATTCTATATTTGAAGCATTTGTTACTAACAGAATGTCTCTCTTGATATGGAAACTCATGATGAAAAGAAAATAGTAAATAAATTGTTCCAGTTTTACACTCCCCAGTTTTCAGCAATTTACCTAAAAACTGAAGTGACACAATCACAGCCCCCAGCTGAGTTAGAACAGGCTCATTCAATGGGCTAGATGTTTCCATAAGGATAGGTCTCATCTGGAAAAAATAAACATATCCAGAAGAGAGAATGCATTAGGCTGTTCTTGCATTGCTATAAAGAAATACCTGAGACTGAGTAATTTATAAGAAAATAGGCTTAACTGGCTCACAGTTCTGCAGGCTGTTTAGGAAGCATGGTGGCATCTGCTTCTATGGAGGCCTCAGGAAGCTTCCAATCCTGGGGGAAGGCAGAGGGTAAGCAGGTGTCTCACATGGTGGGGGCAGGAGCAAGAGAAAACAAAGTGAGAGGAGGTGCCATAGACTATATATATGCACTTTAATTTCTGATTTCTGGGGCACATGTGCTGAACGTGCAGGTTTGTTATATAGGTATACACGTGCCATGGTGGTTTGCTGCACCCATCAAGGTAATACCATTCAGGACATAGGCATGGGCAAAGACTTCGTGACTAAAACACCAAAAGCAATGGCAATTAAAGCCAGAATTGACAAATGGGATCTGATTAAAGAGCTTCTGCACAGCAAAAGAAACTATCATCAGAGTGAACAGGCAACCTACATAATGGGAGAAAATTTTTGCAATCTAGCCATCTGACAAAGGGCTAATATCCAGAATCTACAAAGAACTTAAATTTACAAGAAAAAAACAACCCCATCAAAAAGTGGGTGAAGGATATGAACAGACACTTCTCAAAAGAAGACATTCATGCAGCCAAAGGACATATGAAAAGAAAGCCATAGACTTTTAAACAATCAGATCTCATAAGAATTCACCATCCTGAGAACAGCAACGAGGGGGTGGTGCCAGATACTACCTGAGAATCCACCCATGATCCCATCACCTCCACCCAGGCCCCTCCTCCAACACTGGGGATGACATTTCAACATGAGATTTGGGCAGGAACACAGACCAAACCATATCGGACAACTTATTTGATAAATCCTTTGCTTTATGTAGAAAATGTCAGTCTTAGCTATACTAATAAAATTTTACAGTGTGACAATTTCTTCTTGAAATATGTTTTGTGTTTTAACCCATTGATGTTAACATGAAGATGTGCTATGGGATAAGTGAAGAATTAAATGTGCAAAACCACATCCTTTTAGGAGCTACAGGACCATGTAGTTTGGACATGCGCCTCTAAGTGATGTGGAACTGAGCTCCATGACTCACGGGTGCTGCAGCCTTAATGTCCTCATTTGCAAAATTAGAATAACAATTGTCTCTACCTCATGAAATTGTTGAGAATTAGAGAAATTGTGCCTGGCAGCATAAGCACACATAAACGCAGCTGTAAATTGTGGTTGCTTTCATGAGGATGGGAAGATGGAGGAGTTTTTACCCCAATCCCAAGGAGGCACTGGCAGAGAAGAGATCACCTGCAGTCTATCTTTTGACCGAAAGAAGCTCCCTGATGCATTAAACCCTTTAAAATGCATCTCCACGACTGCACAGCCCACCCTCAGAGGCCACCGGCGATGCCCACGTAGAACCCGGGAGCGTTTCAGTCCCACTAGGGCACAGGAGTGGCACTACCTTTCAGAGCAACTGTCAGCTGGCTTCTGCGGCAAACAGCTCCCAAGTATAAATGACAACACAGATATTCCTGGCTGGGCAGCTCCACACAGTTGCTCTTTTCCAAGAGGTGATTCAAGAATGTAAGCTTCCTCCTTGAAGGGTCAGCATCTTCAACACAGAAACCCCAAGGCCACTATGGAAGCAGAGAGAAGGGGGCGCACACCCCTCTTGCCCATGCCTTACTGGCCAGCAACACTCACTTGCCTCCATGAAAACATGAGACATCATGTCTTCATGATGAGAAATATCATCTTGTCAACTGCCCAATGGAAAACTAAAGTATTTTAGTGAACAAAGCATTGCCTTTGCCACAGTTACCAAAACTGGTGAAGCTGAACAGCTGCAAAGGATACAGGCAGCAAACTGCCCTGAAACTGATGGAAAGAACCTTGCTAGGATTGTCACAACCAGGAATTCCAGGAAGACCTGGACTACATAGATATGTAAAGAAAAAGATGCTCTTTCTTTTTTTTAATATATATATTTTTTATTATACTTTAAGCTCTAGGGTACATGTGCACAACGTGCAGGTTTGTTACATATGTATACATGTACCATGTTGGTGTGCTGCATCCATTACTCGTCATTTACATTAGGTATATCTCCTAATGCTATCCCTCCCCCCTCCCCCCACCCCACAACAGGCCCCAGTGTGTGATGTTCCCCTTCCTGTGTCCATGTGTTCTCATTGTTCAATCCCACCTATGAGTGAGAACATACAGTGTTTGGTTTTCTGTCCTTGTGATAGTTTGCTGAGAATGATGGTTTCCAGCTTCATCCATGTCCCTACAAAGGACATGAACTCATCATTTTTTATGGCCGCATAGTATTCCATGGTGTATATGTGTCATATTTCCTTAATCCAGTCTATCATTGTTGGACATTAGGGTTGGTTCCAAGTCTTTGCTATTGTGAGTAGTGCCGCAATAAACACAAGTGTGCGTGTGTCTTTATAGCAGCATGATTTATATTCCTTTGGGTATATACCCAGTAATGGGATGGCTGGGTCAAATGGTATTTCCAGTTCTAGATTTCTGAGGAATTGCCACACTGTCTTCCACAATGGCTGAACTAGTTTACAGTCCCATTAACAGTGTAAAAGTGTTGCTATCTCTCTACATCCTCTCCAGCACCTGTTGTTTCCTGAGCATTTAATGATCGCCATTTTAACTGGTGAGAGATGATATCTCATTGTGGTTTTGATTTGCATTTCTCTGATGGCCAGTGATGATGAGCAGTTTTTCATGTGTCTGTTGGCTGCATAAATGTCTTCTTTTGAGAAGTGTCTGTTCATATGCTTTGCCCACTTGTTGATGGGGTTGTTTTTTTCTTGCAAATTTGTTTGAGTTCTTTGTAGATTCTGGGTATCAGCCCTTTGTCAGATGAGTAGATTGCAAAAATTTTCTCCCATTCTGTAGGTTGCCTGTTCACTCTGATGGTAGTTTCTTTTGCTGTGCAGAAGCTCTTTAGTTTAATTAGATCCCATTTGTCAATTTTGGCTTTTGTTGCCATTGTTTTTGGTGTTTTAGCCATGACGTCCTTGCCCATGCCTATGTCCTGAATGGTATTGCCTAGGTTTTCTTCTAGGTTTTCTTCTAGGTCTAACATTTAAGTCTTTAATCCATCTTGAATTAACTTTTGTATAATGTGTAAGGAAAGGATCCAGTTTCAGCTTTCTACATATGGCTAGCCAGTTTTCCCAGCACCGTTTGTTAAATAGGGAATACTTTCCCCATTTCTTGTTTTTGTCAGGTTTGTCAAAGATCAGATAGTTGTAGATGTGTGGCATTATTTCTGAGGGCTCTGTTCTGTTCCATTGGTCTATATCTCTGTTTGGTACCAGTACCATGCTGTTTTGGTTACTGTAGCCTTGTAGTATAGTTTGAAGTCAGGTAGCGTGATGCCTCCAGCTATGTTCTTTGGCTTAGGATTGACCTGGCAATGCAGGCTCTTTTTTGGTTCCATATGAACTGTAGTTTTTTCCAATTCTGTGAAGAAAGTCATTGGTAGCTTCATGGGGATGGCACTGAATCTATAAATTACCTTGGGCAGTATGGTCATTTTCACCATATTGATTCTTCCTACCCATGAGCATGGAATGTTCTTCCATTTGTTTGTATCCTCTTTTATTTCATTGAGCAGTGGTTTGTAGTTCTCCTTGAAGAGGTCCTTCACATCCCTTGTAAGTTGGATTCCTAGGTATTTTATTCTCTTTGAAGCAATTGTGAATGGGAGTTCACTCATGATTTGGCTCTTTGTTTGTGTGTTTTTGGTGTATAAGAATGCTTGTGATTTTTGCACATTGATTTTGTATCCTGAGACTTTGCTGAAGTTGCTTATCAGCTTAAGGAGATTTTGGGCTGAGATGATGGGGTTTTCTAAATATACAATCATGTCATCTGCAAACAGGGACAATTTGACTTCCTCTTTTCCTAATTGAATACCCTTTATTTCTTTCTCCTGCCTGATTTCCCTGGCCAGAACTTCCAACACTATGTTGAATAGGAGTGGTGAGAGAGGGCATCCCTGTCTTGTGCCAGTTTTCAAAGGGAATGCTTCCAGTTTTTGCCCATTCAGTATGATATTGGCTGTGGGTTTGTCATAAATAGCTGTTATTATTTTTAGATACATCCCATCAATACCTAATTTATTGAGAGTTTTTAGCATGAAAGGCTGTTGAATTTTGTCAAAGGCCTTTTCTGCATCTATTGAGATAATCATGTGGTTTTTGTCTTTGGTTCTGTTTATATGCTGGATTACGTTTATTGATTTGCGTATGTTGAACCAGCCTTGCATCCCAGGGATGAAGCCCATTTGATCATGGATAAGCTTTTTGATGTGCTGCTGGATTCAGTTTGCCAGTATTTTATTGAGGATTTTTGCATCAGTGTTCATCAGGGATATTGGTCTAAAATTCTCTTTTTTTGTTGTGTCTCTGCCAGGCTTTGGTATCAGGATGATGCTGGCCTCATAAAATGAGTTAGGGAGGATTCCCTCTTTTTGTATTGATTGGAATAGTTTCAGAAGGAATGGTACCAGCTCCTCCTTGTACCTCTGGTAGAATTTGGCTGTGAATCTGTCCAGTCCTGGACTTTTTTTGGTTGGTAAGCTATTAATTATTGCCTCAATTTCAGAGCCTGTTATTGGTCTATTAAGAGATTCAACTTCATCCTGGTTTAGTCTTGGGAGAATGTGTGTGTCGAGTAATTTATCAATTTCTTCTAGATTTTCTAGTTTATTTGTGTAGAGGTGTTTATAGTAGTCTCTGATGGTCGTTTGTATTTCTGTGGGATCGGTGGTGATATCCCCTTTATCATTTTTTATTGCATCTATTTGATTCTTCTCTCTTTTCTTCTTTATTAGTCTTGCTAGCGGTCTATCAATTTTGTTGATCTTTTCAAAAAAAAAACCAGCTCCTGGATTAACTGATTTTTTGAAGGGTTTTTTGTGTCTCTATCTACTTCAGTTCTGCTCTGATCTTAGTTATTTCTTGGCTTCTGCTAGCTTTTGAATGTGTTTGCTCTTGCTTCTCTAGTTCTTTTAATTGTGATGTTAGGGTGTCAATTTTAGATCTTTCCTGCTTTCTCTTGTGGGCATTTAGTGCTATAAATTTCCCTCTACACACCGCTTTAAATGTGTCCCAGAGATTCTGGTATGTTGTGTCTTTGTTCTCGTTGGTTTCAAAGAACATCTTTATTTCTGCCTTCATTTTGTTATATACCCAGTAGTCATTCAGGAGCAGGTTGTTCAGTTTCCATTAGTTGAGTGGTTTTGAGTGAGTTTCTTAATCCTGAGTTCTAGTTTGATTTCACTATGGTCTGAGAGACAGTTTATTATAATTTCTGTTCTTTTACATTTGCTGAGGAGTGCTTTACTTCCAACTATGTGGTCAATTTTGGAATAGGTGCGGGTGTGGTGTGGAGAAGAATGTATGTTCTGTTGATTTGGCGTGGAGAGTTCTATAGATGTCTATTAGGTCCACTTGGTGCAGAGCTCAGTTCAATTCCTGCATATCCTTGTTAACTTTCTGTCTCATTGATCTGTCTAATGTTGACAGTGGGGTGTTAAAGTCTCCCATTATTATTGTGTGGGAGTCTAAGTCTCTTTGTAGGTCTCTAAGGACTTGCTTTATGAATCTGGGCGATCCTGTATTAGGTGCATATATATTTAGGATAGTTAGCTCTTGTTGAATTGATCCCTTTACCATTATGTAATGGCCTTCTTTGTCTCTTTTGATCTTTGTTGGTTTAAAGTCTGTTTTATCTGAGACTAGGATTGCAACCCCTGCCTTTTTTTGTTTTCTATTTGCTTGGTAGATCTTCCTCCGTCCCTTTATTTTGAGCCTATGTGTGTCTCTGCATGTGAGATGGGTTTCCTGAATACAGCACACTGATGGGTCTTGACTCTTTATCCAATTTGCCAGTCTGTGTCTTTTAATTGGAGCATTTAGCCCATTTACATTTAAGGTTAATTTTGTTATGTGTGAATTTGATCCTGTCATTATGATGTTAGCTGGTTATTTTGCTCATTAGTTGATGCAGTTTCTTCCTAGCATCGATGGTCTTTACAATTTGGCATGTTTTTGCAGTGGCTGGTACCAGTTGTTCCTTTCCATGTTTAGTGCTTCCTTCAGGAACTCTTTTAGGGCAGGCCTGGTGGTGACAAAATCTCTCAGCATTTGCTTGTCTGTAAAGGATTTTATTTCTCTTTCACTTACAAAGCTTAGTTTGGCTGGATCTGAAATTCTGGGTTGAAAATTCTTTTCTTTAAGTATGTTGAATATTGGCCCCCACTCTCTTCTGGCTTGTAGAGTTTCTGCCAAGAGATCAGCTGTTAGTCTGATGGGCCTCCCTTTGTGGGTAACCCGACCTTTCTCTCTGGCTGCCCTTAACATTTTTTCCTTCATTTCAACTTTGGTGAATCTGACAATTATGTGTCTTGGAGTTGCTCTTCTCGAGGAGTATCTTTGTGGTATTCTCTGTATTTCCTAATTTGAATGTTGGCCTGCCTTGCTAGGTTGGGGATGTTCTCCTGGATAATATACTGCAGAGTGTTTTCCAACTTGGTTCCATTGTCCCCATCACTTTCAGGTACACCAATCAGACATAGATTTGGTCTTTTCACATAGTCCCATATTTCTTGGAGGCTTTGTTCATTTCTTTTTATTCTTTTTTCTCTAAACTTCTCTTCTCACTTCACTTCATTCATTTGATCTTCAATCACTGATACCCTTTCTTCCAGTTGATCGAATTGGCTACTGAAGCTTGTGCATTCATCACATAGTTCTTGTGCCTTGGTTTTCAGCTTCAGCAGGTCCTTTAAGGACTTCTCTGCATTGGTTATTCTAGTTAGCCATTCGTCTAATCTTTTTTCAAGGTTTTTAACTTCTTTGCGATGGGCTCGAACTTCCTCCTTTAGCTTGGAGAAGTTTGATTATCTGAAGCTTTCTTCTCTCAGCTCGTCAAAGTCATTCTTTGTCCAGCTTTGTTCCATTGCTGGTGAGGAGCTGCGTTCCTTTGGAGGAGGAGAGGCACTCGATTTTTAGAATTTTCAGTTTTTCTGTTCTGTTTTTTCCTCATCTTTGTGGTTTTATCTACCTTTGGTCTTTGATGATGGTGACATACAGATGGGGTTTTGGTGTGGATGTCCTTTCTGTTTGTTAGTTTTCCCTCTAACAGACAGGACCCTCAGCTGCAGGTCTGTTGGAGTTTGCTGGAGGTCCCCTCCAGACCCTGTTTGCCTGGGTATCAGCAGCAGAGGCTGCAGAACAGTGAATATTGCTGAACAGCAAATGTTGCTGTCTGATCCTTCCTCTGGAGGTTTCGTCTCAGAGGGGTACCCGGCTGTGTGAGGTGTCAGTCTGCCCCTACTCGGGGGTGCCTCCCAGTTAGGCTACTTGGGGGTTAGGGACCCTCTTGAGGAGGCAGTCTGTCCGTTCTCAGATCACAAACTCCATGCTGGGAGAACCATTACTCTCTTCAAACCTGTCAGACAGGGACATTTAAGTCTGCAGAGGTTTCTGCTGCCTTTTGTTTGTCTGTGCCCTGCCCCCAGAGGTGGAGTCTACAGAGGCAGGCAGGCCTCCTTGAGCTGTGGTGGGCTCCACCCAGTTCGAGCTTCCTGGCCGCTTTGTTTACCTACTCAAGCCTCAGCAATGGCGGGTGCCCCTCCCCCAGCCTCGCTGCCGCCTTGCAGTTGGATCTCAGACTGCTGTGTTAGCAGTGAGCGAGGCTCTGTGGGTGTAGGACCCTCCGAGCCAGGCGTAGGGTATAATCTCCTGGTGTGCCGTTTGCTAAGACCATTGGAAAAGCGCAGTATTATGGTGGGAGTGACCCGATTTTCCAGCTGCCGTCTGTCACAGCTTTGCTTGGCTATGAAAGGGAATTTCCCTGACCTCTTGCACTTCCCAGGTGAGGTGATGCCTCGCCCTGCTTTGGCTCACACTCGGTGTGCTGCATGCACTGTCCTGCACCCACTGTCTGACAAGCCCCAGTGAGATGAACCTGGTACCTCAGTTGGAAATGCAGAAATCACCCATCTTCTGCGTCGCTCACACTGGGAGCTGTAGACTGGAGCTCTTCCTATTTGGCCATCTTGGAACTGCCCGACGTTAATCATCTAAATAAAGTATTTCCACCTGTACCTTCCTAGACGGGTCAGAATTCTCTAAAGAAAATTTTAGGGTACACTTTTGCCCCAAATAAGTGAATAAAAATCAATTTGGGGATACATTCTTGTTCTAAATAAGTGAACAATTAAGAAGTTTTTTTGTGTTTTATTTTTTTGTTTGTTTGTTTTATTCTGCTGACAGCCAAATCTCTGGGGGAAAAACAACTGAATAAACTTTTGACAAAGCTGGGCTGGGCTGGCAGCTCACTCAGGAGGGGCAGGGCCTGGCTCAGGTCAGGTCTTCCTAGGGGAGACTGTGCTGGGATGAGGAGACAGTGGTGCCACAGGGAAGGGTGCTGAGGGCGTCTCAGAGAGCAGAGGGTGTCTGAGGAGCCCATTGCCAGTTCTTGTCGTGGCCAAGTCTAGTGAGATCTGGTGTCCGGGTTATTGATTTTCAGGACATTCATTGAACAAACAAATGTATTTGCAACTTCATCTTCCTGGGCAAGTGTTTCCCAGAGAGTAAAGTCATGTTCAGAGACAAGAGTTCTACTTCCCAACTGTAATTGGAATCTCAGTTTCACTTACTCATCCATGTGTCTGTGCTTAATTCCCTTTCATGTAACATGGGAAAAATAACACTACTTTCCTCATCAGATTGTTAATTAATTAATACAAGTAGAATATTTAAACAGTCTTGGTGGGTGGAAATGTCTGCAAATGTTAGTCCTTACCATGGTGATAATGATTTGCTCAGTAGGGCTTCCTCCCAAGCCATGGCATGCTCTTACTTGGGCCGTTTCTGTCCCCAGAGCCACTCCTGCCACTGATAATCCATTGTCCTCCCCTCCTGGCATCTGATGTGTGGCTTTTCCTCCCTTGCTTGTTTCCAGGAATTCTTTCCACCTCAGATTAAAAGCCTTTTCCACAACACAGCCTCCTCTGACCTACCTGACTGGGTCAGCTCTCACATTGTAGTATTTTAGAATTGTTTCATCAGTGATGAGCAACCAGGACACTTAGATCAAATTGCTATTTGTCTTTGGTTTGCTGTTTGTCTTTTCCAATAAGCCACCTTTTCTTCCCAGGGACCACGCCTGGTTTTTTACTGTGGTGTCCCCTGGCATACAAGAGGTTAAGTGGTTATTTCTTTCTTTTCTTTTTTTTTTTTTTTAATACTTTAAGTTCTAGGGTACACATGCACAACGTGCAGGTTTGATACATGGGTGTACATGTGCCATGTTCGTTTGCCACACCTATCAACTCGTTATTTACATTAGGTATTTCTCCTAATGCTATCCCCCCCCAGCTCCCCAGCCTCTGACAGGCCCCGGTGTGCAATGTTCCCCTTCCTGTGTCCGAGTGATCTCATTGTTCATTTCCTACCTGTGAGTGAGAACATGTGGTGTTTGGTTTTCTGTCCTTGTATAGTTTGCTGAGAATGATGGTTTCGAGCTTCATCCATGTCCCTGCAAAGGACATGAACTCATCCTTTTTTATGGCTGCATAGTATTCCATGGTGTATATGTGCCACATTTTCTTGTGGCAGAATTGAATCCAATCTATCATTGATGGACATTCGGGTTGGTTCCAAGTCTTTGCTATTGTGAATAGTGCTGCAATAGACATACGTGTGCATGTGTCTTTACAGTAGCATGATTTATAATCCTTTGGGAATATACCCAGTAATGGGATTGCTGGGTCAAATGGTAATTCTATTTCTAGATCCTTGAGGGATCGCCACACTGTCTTCCACAATGGTTGAACTAATTTACACTCCCATTAACAGTGTAAAAGAGTTCCTATTTCTCCACATCCTCTCCAGCATCTGTTGTTTCCTAACTTTTTAATGATTGCCATTCTAACTGGCATGAGATGGTATTTCATTGTGGTTTTGATTTGCATTTCTTTCTCTGATGAACAGTGACAATGAGCATCTTTTCATGTGTCTGTTGGCTGCATAGATGTCTTCTTTTGAGAAAGGTCTGTTCATATCCTTTGCCTACTTTTTGATGGGGTTGTTTTTTTCTTGTAAATTTGTTTGCATTCTTTGTAGATTCTGGATATTAGCTCTTTGTCAGATGGGTAGATGGCAAAAATTTTCTCCCATTCTGTAGGTTGCCTGTTCACTCTGATGGTAGTTTCTTTTGCTGTGCAGAAGCTCTTTAGTTTAATTAGATCCCATTTGTCAATTTTGGCTTTTGTTGCCATTGCTTTTGGTGTTTTAGTCATGAAGTCCTTGCCCATGCCTATGTCCTGAATGGTATCGCCTAGGTTTTCTTCTAGATTTTCTATGGTTTTAGGTCTCACATTTAAGTCTTTAATCCATCTTGAATTAATTTTGTATAAGATGTAAGGAAAGGATCCAGTTTCAGCTTTCTACATATGGCTAGCCAGTTTTCCCAGCACCATTTATTAAATAGGGAATCATTTCCCCATTTCTTTTTGTCAGGTTTGTCACAGATCAGATGGTTGTGGATGTGTGGTGCTTCTATTCTGTTCCATTGGTCTATATGTCTGTTTTGGTACAAGTACCATGCTGTTTTGGTTACTGTAGCCTCATAGTATCGTTTGAAGTCAGGTAGCGTGATGCCTCCAGCTTTGTTCTTTTTGCTTAGGATTGTTTTGGCAATGTGGGCTCTTTTTTGCTTCCATATGAACTTTAAAGTAGTTTTTTCCAATTCTGTGAAGAAAGTCATTGGTAGCTTGATGGGGATGGCATTGAATCTATAAATTACCTTGGGCAGTATGGCCATTTTCACAATATTGATTCTTCTTATCCATGAGCATGGAATGTTCTTCCATTTGTTTGTGTCCTCTTTTATTTCTTTGAGCAGTAGTTTGTAGTTCTCCTTGAAGAGGTCCTTCACATCCCTTGTAAGTTGGATTCCTAGGTATTTTATTCTCTTTGAAGCAATTGTGAATGGGAGTTCACTCATGATTTGGCTCTCTGTTTGTCTGTTGTTGGTGTACAGGAATGCTTGTGATTTTTGCACATTGATTTTGTATCCTGAGACTTTGCTGAAGTTGCTTATCAGCTTAAGGAGATTTGGGGCTGAGACGATGGGGTTTTTTAAATATACAATCATGTCATCTGCGAACAGGGACAATTTGACTTCCTCTTTTCCTAATTGAATACCCTTTATTTCTTTCTCCTGCCTGATTGCCCTGGCCAGAACTTCCAACACTATGTTGAATAGGAGTGGTGAGAGAGGGCATCCTTGTCTTGTGCCAGTTTTCAAAGGGAATGCTTCCAATTTTTGCCCATTCAGTATGATATTGTCATAAATAGCTCTTATTATTTTGAGATACATTCCATCAATACCCAGTTTATTGAGAGTTTTTAGCAGGAAAGGCTGCTGAATTTCATCAAAGGCCTTTTCTGCATCTATTGAGATAATCCTGTGGTTTTTGTCATTGGTTATGTTTACGTGATGGATTATGTTCATTGATTTGCATATGTTGAACGAGCCTTGCATCCCAGGGATGAAGCCAACCTAATCATGGTGGATAAGCTTTTTAATGTGCTGCTGGATTTGGTTTGCCAGTATTTTATTGAGGATTTTTGCATCTATATTCATCAGGGATATTGGTCTAAAATTCACTTTTTTTGTTGTGTCTCTGCCAGGCTTTGGGATCAGGATGATGTTGGCCTCATAAAATGAGTTAGGGAGGATTCCCTGTTTTTCTATTGATTGGAATAGTGTCAGAAGGAATGGTACCAGTTCCTCTTTGTACCTCCGGTAGAATTCGGCTGTGAATCTCTCTGGTCCTGGACTGGTTGGTAGGCTATTATTACCTCAATTTCAGAGCCTGTTATTGGTCTGTTCGGAGACTCAACTTCTTCCTGGTTTAGTCTTGGGAGGGTGTGTTTGTCCAGGAATTTATCCTTTTCTTCTATATTTTTTAGTTTATTTGTGTAGAGGTGTTTATAGTAGTCTCTGATGGTAGTTTGTATTATTGTGGGATTGGTGGTGATATCCCCTTTATCATTTTTTATTGCATCTATTTGATTCTTCTCTCTTTTCTTCTTTATTCTTAAACAGATACTTAGGATGAAAATGAAATATGTGTAATGTTTTACATTCATGAGTGTGTAAAGAGTCATATAGACTCTTTGTCATCACTGGCTTTACTTTAAGGCAAAGGTGACTGACTCAGGTCATTCTCATAATGGTATAAAGAAATACCTGAGGCAAGGTAACTTATGAAGAAAAAGGGTTTCACTGACTTGTGGTTCTGTAAGCTGTAGAGGAAACAGCAGCTTCTGCTTCTGGGGAGGCCTCAGGAAGCTTCCAATTGTAGCGGAAGGCAGAGGGAGCGAGGCGTCTCACAAGGTGGGAGCAGGAGGAAGAGAGGAGAGGAGAGGGAGGTTCTGCACACTTCAACCACCAGATCTCACAAGAACTCATTCACTATGAGGAGGATGCTGCTAACCCATTCGTGAGAAATCGCCCATGACCCAGTCACCTCCCACCAGGCCCACCAGGCCCCTCTTCCAACCCTGGGGATTGTAATTCAACGTGAGGTTTGGGTGGGGACACAGATTCAAGCCATATCAGTGACTTTGCAGAGTTAAGATCAGGTCCACACAGCACCTGGGTGGAAGAGGTGGGTGTTGGGGGAGGGCCTGGGCTGGTCAGGTGGGGGACCCTTGTGCCCAAGGACACCCTGTGAACCTGCTGATATCAAGCTCAGGGACACCTGTGAACCCGCTGATAGCAAGCCTACCTTGAAGTCTGTTCAATGCTCTTCCAAATAAGGCCTGTGGAAACTCTCATGAGAAAAACAAGGCAAAAACTGCAGAAATACAACAGAATAGATATACAGGAAATAAAAAGAGAGTTCCTAACTGGAAATGTCAATACTTTATCCAGGAAAAAATGCTCATGCGTGATTATTGGAGTACAAATAATGTTTTTATGTTTCCAATTATATATTAGAATACATGAGAATTAGCTAAATCATGGTGACATTTCTAAATATTTCACTTCTTCTTTACGCATTTATTGCTATAAGGACACTATCTGAAAAGTGGAGCTACTATTTATTTCAATATTTTAAGTAGACTGTGAAAGATAAAACAGACCGTGAAGTAATTCGTTGATGTTTATGTGTCAAGGGCGCTTTAGTAACCTTTCAAATACCACTTTCAACTTAAGCCACCTATCTCCTCCATGTGACAATTTTCAATACTTCCAAAGTAAGAGTTTTACCTAGAAATCATTGACAAAATATGTCCAGCAGCCCCCAAATATTTCACTACATCCACTATCACCTTCCACATTGAAGCATTTAGCACGATATGGAGTTGTCCCAGGCTTGAAGACTGTGAATACGGTGGAATATTAAAGCTAAAGTTTACAGGAAAACACAAATATTGACATCTTATACATTTCAGCTATTTTTTCCTGTAATATAAGAACCTTGTAATGGAACGTATAAAGGGGAAATTGACTCTCAGACAGTTTCATTTTGACGACCATGGAGGGTACATCATCGGGCTTCGATGCCGCCTGCACTGAGCAGAAGCACCTTGATCTGCCAAGACCTCAAAATACGGGCTGGCCCAGCCACCACAGGATGGGGAAGGCTGGATTCTCTGAATAGGATGTGGAATGGTCAGGCAGGTGCCTGGATCCAGACCCGCCGAACAGACGTCTCCAGGAATGCTCCTTTAACACTTGAAGCATGCATGTCTCACCTGTGAGATGGAGAAAGTGTGTCTCCCAGGCCAGTGGGGCTGGGATTGGAGAGGATGGAACAGGCAAATGCAAACGTGAGAAAGTGACCTTCAGGGCCACTGTCCTGGACGCATGGACCGAGCGTCACCCGGGCCCTGCCCAGAGAGTCCTGCCTGGTCTAATGCTCTGCTGTCACTGGTCTGAAATGGTTTATAATTTTTTGAGAAGGGGCCATGGGTTTTTAATTTGCACTGAGCCCTTCACATTCTGTAGCTGGTTTGCAAGCCGCATTGGATGGGCCATGAGAGTGTTGAGATGCGGTTAGATTTGCAGGAGCGGAACTCAGGATGTGCCCCCACGTGATTCCAGGCTCCTAGTCACCGCGCAGGGCCTCTTCTGACCCTGAGGCTTCCGCTTCCCTGCACACCATATGTTGGATTTTCCTTCATAATTTATAGCTTTAGTTGAACAAGAGTTTTCTAGGATGAAAAAAAATTGCAGTTTTTTCTTTGAATTTAAATGTCTTACTACTTTTCCTCCATTGCCTGTCAGTGCAAAACAAACACAAACAAAGCATCAGCCACTTCTCTTTCTCTAAATCTCCAGGAAGCCCTGCCTCTCCAGGCAGCTCCACTCCCAGGTGTGCCCTTGGAAGGGGTGCAGTTTGCTGCACAGAAGCTCTGGCATAACTCAGAATAAGAAACTCATTTCCCCAACCAGCCAGCCACACTGTAATCCAAGCAGAACAGCTCTGACACAAAGATTTCCCATGTGACCATTCAAGATTTTATACACACTAATATTCTTCCTTTAGTTTAAAGAATCAAGTTTGCTTTGGATTATTAAAAAGCTCTGCACTTAAAGGTCATGGGGAAACTTAAATGGCAAAAGGAAGCAAGGCCCAAGTTTCTTTTATGTCTAACATAAAAAATTGTTAAATAATGCTACGTATTTTTTGATAGATTTAAGATATAAATTTCCTAATTTTATGTATAATAAAATAAAAAACATAAAAATATCTCTCCATGTGAAGTGGGTTTGAGTGTCGTTAATGAGTGGTCTGGTTTGACTGTGTCCCCACCCACATTTCATCTTGAATTGTAGCTCCCATAATCCCCATGTCAAGGGAGGGACCTGGTGGGAGGTAATTGAATCATGGGGGTGGGTTTTTCTCATGCCGTTCTAGTGATAGTGTGTTCTAGTGATAGTGTGTTCTAGTGATAGTGTGTTCTAGTGATAGTGACTAAGTCTCATGAGATCTGATGGTTTTATAAAGGGCAGTTCCCCTGCACACATTCTCTTGCCTGCCGCCATGTAAGAGGTGACTTTGCCTCTCCTTAGCCTTCTGCCATGATTGTGAGGCCTCCCCAGCCATGTGGAACTGTGAGTCCATTAAACCTCTTCCTCTAATAAGTTACCCAGTCTGGGATATGTCTTTATTAGCAGCGTGAAAACAGACTAATACAATGAGGAAGTAAGAAGAGGCTGAATTCCTACATAATCCAGATGCTTCCTGTGAGCTGCCACTAAGCTCTGCTCTGCTGGAAGCTCACGTGGGAAGAGTCTGCCTGGCACAGCTTCCCCAGGCCCCATCTCCCCTTGGAAAGGGCAGACACCAAGGCTGGGGAGGAGGCAGAGGGGAGCCACATGGCCACAGAGGCCAGCAGGGGTTCCCCAGGACGGAGGAGCTAAAAAGTAATCTGGGAAACTCAAACCTGCCCCAAGAATTCTGGGAGTTGAAGGGCACAGACACCAGACCAAGAGCAAACCACATCCCAAGAAGCGTTTACCCACTGGGGCCAGGGCAGGAGGCCTGGGTCTCAGGACAGCTCCCAGCTCTGAGATTGGCAGAAGTATAGACGTCCCGCAGTTCACAGCAATGTCTTCCGCAGCTGAGAGGGTCTCCGTGCATGTGTCAGCCATCTGCAAATCTGACAGTGCTCGAATATTTTTTGATTCAGCAGTGGAGTAACTTTACATTCTAAGGGAGCCCATTGACTTGTAGAAAGGACAGGTGTGGTTATGTTCTGGCACCACATAAACATGGAGGGAAATTGCAGAATGAGCCGCTGTTCTTTCCCTCAGATGCGTGAGGATGGGCATCGCGTCACGGGGAGACAGTCTCATCCCAAATCCCACCTTTGCCATCAGGTAGGGAGCATGAGCCCCAGGTTAGAAGCTGTCAGTGTCTGTTAACAATCACGTCCAGCTGGCCCGCCTAGGACCCAAGGCAGGCTTTTTTGCAAGCTACGTGTGGGCAAATGAATCCATCCTTGCTCCGTTGTGCCTCACGAAAACATGCAATTTTAAAATAAAGCCGCAGAAGTTTAATAGATGCGTTAAATAGTTAATGCATTATGTAGGAGTAAATCATAGAACTTGGACTCAATGTTTCTATGGTATATAAACATCAGCATACTTGTTTTCAATGTATTCAAATAATGTGTATTTTCCAAATGAGACTTGCTATCCGTTCCAGACCCTGTACTCACTTGCTGTTGGAACATTATCAAGGCTCATTTTCGTCATCTGAAAGGTGGAAACAATAGTAGGTGCCTCATAAAGATGCCGTAAGGACTCAACACCTGCCAGCTTTATCTGTTTTAAGATCTATTGATAATTAGAGTTCACATACAGGAGCCTCAGCTGAGGAAAAAATCCAGTTCTGTTTATATTTGCCACAGTATCTTGTCTCTGCAAATTCCCTCAATTCAGAGATTATCACTGCTTCCCAACCAAGTTATCCCATTTTTACTGCAGGAAAACACAAGAAGCACAAATCTGAAACATAGGGCATGACATGGGAGTTACTGACTTCCATAGGTATGTGAGGATGCCTTCCCTGAGTGCCCTGAGTGCCTGCAGATGCCGTGGCCCAGGAGGAAGATACACCATTCCCTCCCCAGGCAAGCCCTGAAAGTTTGGCAGAGCCGTGCTCCAGTGCAGAGGGACTCCCATCTCAAAGTTTGTAGCTCCAGCTGCAGCTCAAATTCAGGCTGGAAAGACATAGCCAGCTCTCGGCCCTCTGCTGTTCCTGAGTCTGAGGAAAAGCACAGAGGCTCATTCTAGTCTGTGCTGGAGTGTGGCCTGTGGAGGCAGAGCTGGGAGGCCCTGCTGCATCTCTGGTCCTCGTTGTTGCTCTCCCAGCCTCCAAGCCTCCCACCCCCGGGTCCTGATGCAGGGGAAGGGGCTCCTCCATCCTCCTCTCTCTGCCTGGCAGTTGGCTCCTCTGCTTTGCCCATCAGAGGTGTGTGTTTTCCGATCCTCTCTGCACAACCCCCGATGTTGTCTCTCCTTCCATCAGCCCCCAGCAGAGCATTTTCAAACCCAGACACATGTCAGAAGCTCCTTTATCCAGCTCCCATGGGGCGTACCTGGGGTCAAAACTTCCAGAGTTCCAAATATGCACCTTGTGCAGAAAAAAGTACTTCCCATGCCACAAACAAAGGGTACAAGAAAAGTAGTGTTCCGCACATTTTCAGGCATGCAACTTCATCTCTTGGTTAAGCTCCACTTCCAGACAGTGAAGGAAAATAAATCCAGTCAACTCCAAGAAAAACCAGGCATAGTTTTCATTCCTCCCTCACTCAGGGATGACTCCGGTGAGGGACAGGACTGTGGCCAGGGCTTCTGTCTTTTCCCCACTCTCTGCTGGCATCTCCCCATCAGTCCTAGGGGAACCACAGATGCCTGCTGGCACCCAGTGATGTGTGGTGGCCTCCCTGTATCCTGCAGGCAGCCTGGGGCCCATCTCCTGACTGCCGCGCTGCCCACAAACTACTGTTGCCTTTGGATCACTTCTATGCCAGCTCTGGCACGGCTGGAAACTTGTGGGTTTCAATCAGGCCATCTCCCCAGACACCCACACCCCACGCCTGCCTGGCTTCCCACTGCAAACAAGGCTGGCCACCACCCGGCACCAGCTCAGAAGCAAAGACCACTCCATGGGTTCTCAGACCTCACCCAGTGGGCGGCTCCTGTTGTGGCCCCAGCATTGCAGACATCACAGGCGGAGACCTCTGTCCCTTCTCTGCCTCCCCACAGCTCAGCATTTATCTAGCTGGGCAGGGAGGGTCTGGACAAAACTGCAGTGGGAGAGGTCATGAATATCACCTGGTTCATGTGCAGGCAAGCCCTGGTTTCCTCCTGCACCGCTTGCGTGGGGGTCTCTATCTCTGGCTTTGTGGGGGTGCCCTTCCCCCAAGGAATGGGGTGCTGGGGCCAAGGCTCTCCTTGCAGCCCAGCTGAGGATTGCAGGGGCCAGGGAGTGCGGAGAAGGTGCCTGGAAGGTTGTGCCCCCTCACCTGCAGCCATGACCCAGGACTGACAGAGGGTGGGGGGCGCTGGCACCAAACTCCTTGAGCAGCCACTGCCAGGCCCCTGAGGAAGCTCCAGGCCCAGGAGGCTGGGCTCTCCCTGCAGCCAGGCCCTCACCTCCTCTGCAAGCCACGCTCACATTCTCCTTTCCAGGAACCAGACCAGAGACATTTCTTCCCTCTTCTGTTTCTTGGAGACCAGCCCCACCTTCCCTGCAGGTGCATTTCCCAGGTGGCGGCTGCAGTTGTTTCTGCAGGACAGGACTCTGGGTTCACCCATGCCCTCCTCTGTTCAGCCATCCCTCCCTTGTCTGCCCCAGGTGAGTCCTCATGAAATGTCCAGCCCCCCCGAGGGAGGCAGAGCCACGTGCTCTCCAAGCCCTCCTGGGCATCATCACCAGATTGCATTTTCTGCGCGGAGCTTCTCCAGCAGCATCAGCAGCCTGACGATGGGCTTCCAACTCTGGCCTTTCCAATACAGCAGCCCCCTTATCCAAAGGAGAATCTTTCCAAGACCCCAGTGGACACCTGAAGCCATGGAGAGAACAAGTCCTATGTATGCTGTGTTTTCCTACACACATACCCACGGTGAAGCTTAGTTTATAAATTAGGCATAGTAAGAGATCCACCATAACTGATAATAAAACAGAACAATTATAACAATACCCAGAATGATGCATGATTTAAAACCGATGAGTTGTTTATTTCTGGAATTTTTCATGTAATATTTTCAGACTGAGGTTAACCACAGGGAACTGAAACTGCAGAAAGCAAATCTGAAGATCAGAGGCCCTGTTGCCCACCCTTTCCATCTCTGCAGATCTCCAGTGCCTCGGGAGCCTCTCCCATCCCAGGGCCTGGGGCTCCTGCCTCCTCCCCATGTGGCCTCAATCTGCCTTCCTTGCATGAATTTCTCTGAAGGACACCTGTCTTCACTCACTCACACCTCTCTAGGAGCACCAGGTTCTGCAAATAGGAACAAGGCACATCAACGGGTGCACAGGAAAATCCTTACATGGAAATCTTACTTGTTATTTGACATTCATGTTTAGGTGAGTGTCCTGCATTTTACTGGTAGCCCCACTTAATGGGAGCTGCCACCCATGGCCGCCACCCTTCCCTCTTCTCCAGCCAGACGCCCCTGGGCTCTCTTCCCCTTCCCAGTGTGGACATTCTTGACCTTTATTTTCAGCCCTCATGTGGCACTGTCCCTGTCTATTTTCTGCAGTAGCTTCTTGCATTTAGAAAAAATTATGTTTGAAATGTTATTATCAAAGATAGGGGAGAGGCTCCTAGGTTATAAAAAAATACTTGAAGTTGCAACCAGCTATTAATTGAAAACCAAAAATAGGCCAGCTGCGGTGGCTCACGGCTGTAATCCCAGCACTTTGGGAGGCCGAAGCAGGTGGATCACTTGAGGTCAGGAGTTTGAGACCAGCCTGGCCAACATGGCGAAACCCTGTCTCTACTAAAAATATAAAAATTAGCTGGGCGTTCTGGCATGTGCCTGTAATCCCAGCTGCTCGGGAGGCTGAGGCAGGAGAATTGCTTGAATTTGGGAGGCAAAGATTGCAGTGAGCTGAGATCACACCATTGTACTTCAGTCTGGGTAAAGAGCTGAGATCGCACCATTGCACTCCAGCCTGGGTAAAGAGCTGAGATTGCACCACTGCACTCCAGCCTGGATAAAGAAGTGAGACTCTGTCTCAAAAAAAAAAAAAAAAAAAAAGAAATATTTGTGACTTTACATTACATGCGTCTCAAAAAAAAAAAAAAACAAATTTCACTTATGATGTGCAAAATTGCCCAAGCAGCACAAATGAAAACGTAAATTTCCTTCACGTTTCAGTGGAACTGATGCAGGTTTTTATTGTAGCTGTTAGTTTATCCAAGATTTTTATCAGCAAGAATTGAAAATTAACTTCATGTGGAGTCTTCATGTCTTGTCAAGTCAGACATTAATGGGTAAGCCAAAGGGGATCTTTTTAAAATGCCTTTTTCTTTTTACAAAAATCTCAAAAGCTGGATTCCTTTCTAATCATGTATCCTTGTGGCAAAAAATCCAGCAATACAAGTAAAAAGGACATTCCTTTTCCAAGCCTTCCTCGTGGCCTGAAGTAACTGTGGTGCGTCATAGTCTCCTGTGCTGACTTTCCAACCTGATGTCTGTCCTTGTAGGTCTGGATACTCCTCACCTTGCTGTAAGCTCAGAGAGCTTCGCCTCCAGTCCCCTCCAGGAGACTGAGGCTCCCATCAGCAGAGCCTCCCATATCTGTGCCTGCAGGTTGGCCTGAGCTGTAGGCAGCGTGCACATCACAATCACCCTGCTGAAAGAAAGTCACCCTGATAAAAGTAAAACTTTAGGCAAAACACATTGAAGTGAGTTTACTTGACCATTAGAAGACTCGTGAATTGGGCAGCACTCGGAAACAGAGGAGGTTCAGAGAAGAGCGAGGGCAGTGACCTCTCAGATGGATGGGGAAGGAAGACAGAGACAATGCACCCAATCAGTTAGAGCAGGAGCCCCAGCCACAGGGGAGTTGGTGGTTTCTGATTAGTAAAGTCGCTAGTTCTCTTTTTCTGTTTACAATGGGCTTTGGTTTGCTCACTCAAGAACCCCAGCCCTGGAGCCTTCCCAGCCTAGTGTCCTCCCAGCGAGAATGCTGACACTACCCACCAGGCAGCTACACCCATGACCCAGCCAGGCCAGCTACAGCCCCATAGCTCCCCTCAGGACCAGACAAGCAGAGCCTGCACAGCCCTGAGCTTCTCCCTCTGCCCATCCTGCTACCTCCTCCTCCTGGCATGGGTTTGATCCCTAATAAGCATTCTGTACCTCAAATCCTGCCTCAGTGTCTTCTGCCAGAGTGTGGGCTGAGCAGGTGCCTTGAACCAATATCTCAGTGATGACCTCCCAGGAAACTCTAGCCTGCAAAGCCACTCTGCAGCACATCCTGAAAGTACACACCCCTGTGGGTATTTGTCTGACTGTTAGGATAAATTCCAGATTTGGAACTGTGGGTCCAAGGGTATAGGTTAGGAGTCAAAGGGCACTGAGTGCCGCGAGCCAGCCATTTACTCAGAGATCCTACCGAGCAAGCCATGAGACAAAAGCCAGCCAGACCCACGCAGGCTGTGTGAGTGGGCAGGTGGAGGGCACCCAAATGCTGCTTCCTGGATGCTCCTCATCTGGATCAGAGAATGTTGCACAGACTTCAGGATGAAAGGGCTGACGGTTACCTCTGGCCACATCTCCATCCTGTGGATTCCGTATGCAGCCAAGTGGGCCCCAAGCCTCTCCACCTAACCAATGCCTCAGATGCAAGTGGCCCAGGGCTCATCCAGGGACCACCTGTAAAGGCCACCCTGCCCAGTGAGCTGTGGTCGGCATCCACGGGAGGACTCCCTGACTCTGGGGGCAGATAGTGGAAGAGGAAGAGTACCCCCTAAATCCCACAGGGAAGGCACAGGAAGCAAGACTGCTGGTAATGCCTGGCCCCGTGGAATCTCCAGACCCCGAAGGACCTGCTTAGGAAGAGACGGGAGCACAGAGCAAGCAGGGAGCCAGCCAGTCTGGGAGCCAACACGGAGCCAAGGGGGGTGGGGGATTTCCTGTTTCCTCAGTGAATTAGTCCATTTTCGTGCTACTGATAAAGACATACCCGAGACTGGTCAATTTATATAAAGGAAAAGAGGGTTAATGGGCTCACAAATTCATATGGCTGGGGAGGCCTCACAATCATGGCAGAAGGTGAAAGGCATGTCTTACATGGTGGCAGGCAAGAGAAAATAAGAGCCAAGCAAAGGGGGAAACTTCTTATAAAACCATCAGATCTCATGAGACTTACTCAGCACCAACCAGGAGAACAGTAGGGGAAAAACTGCCCCCAGGATTTAATTATCTCCCACTGGGTCCCTCCCACAGCACCTGGGAATTATGGGAGCTACAATTCAAGATGAGATTGAGGGGGGACACATCCGAACCATATCACCCCATATTTTGTACATCTTGAATTTGGAAACTGAGCGCCAGTTTGTTTCTCCAGAAAGGTTCCCATCTGCATTTCCACCAGTGGTGAATGTGTGAGTCCTTCATTTCCGGCATCCTCATTGGAGCCACCATTATTGCATCTTTAGTCACTCGCAATATGGGAAAAGATAATGTCTCATTGATACTTAACCTGCGTTTCCTGTATCACTATGTTTTTAGAAAGATATATTTGCATTTTTTCCTTTGTTTTATGAATTGCCTGCTCATGACCTAAGCCCTTTTTTTAAGTGGTGTATTTAAGTGACTACCTTTACTTTGTGTTTCTCTGTAACCCGCAGATGGACTGCCCAGCTCCATTCTTCTGGGGTGTGTGGGAGCTTGTCCGGGGTGCAGGGCAAGGCAATGTGAGAGCCAGCGGGGGCTCCGCTGGACACAGGCCATGCCCGGGCAGCCTGGCGATGCTTGGGTCAGTCCCCTTGTCCCACTGGAGGCCCAGATGGACACCACTTGCTCTCCCTCCTCCTACCATCGTGAGATAGAATGAAATTAAAGGTACTGCAGCAGCTCTGGGCTCTCCGTGGTTCAGCTGTGAGGACACAGTGGGGCCACAGCACAGCCCTCCTCAGCAGTGGTACCTCCATAGCAGTGGTGCCTGCTGTGTCTCAGAATTGTTGCAGGAGGCTGTGCTCACAAAAATGCCATGCACCGTGGGTGGGGGACACTGGGGAACAATGGGCTGGTGACCCTCAGAGTTCTTTGGAACTACCTGTGGCTGCAGCTGCCCCCTTACCATGTGAACTTCAGGACGCTTCTCTGTCAAGCAAGGCTCTTAGAAGAACGTGGTCCCGTGACAGTCCCGAGAGCGGCTCACAGATGGCTCCATCTCCCTCCTTCCGAGCACACCGTGGGTTCACATTTCACTGTGGTGTGACCACCTGGCATGCTTTAGTGGGAGTGGTGTGACCAGAGCACGCCGGGCCCCACCAAATCTCCCCTCTGCACGCAGTGGCAGCATGGAAACGGTGGCTGCCCCATCAGCCTGGGACCCTGCATGGTCAGGATGAGCACAGCCCCTTGACAAAGCTTGGGATGGGGGCCTGTCTGTTACTGCATTAACCAGCCTGCACCAATTCAGAGTCTTCTCAACTTTCAGTTTTGGATATATGCAATCTTGCGTGAACTTATGCATGGAGTGGAGAATCTAATGTACCCATAGCTATGGATCTCCCGAGCACAGATCATGCCAAAGGTAAAACCCGTGTTGTATGTGATTCTGAAACTGGAAGTGGAGGGGCTAAGAGACACCAGGCAAGCATTTTTTTCACCCTGGAATGCACATGTACAGACCTTGCCAGGTGTTCTCCTTAGATTCCTATCACCTGTGTTGCACGCTGTCTCAAGGGAGGAAATGTGTTCTCCTTAGCCAATTGTGGTAATGCAGTAGCCCATTCTACATCTTTGGTACCCAAAGAGGAGTAGTCAGGGCCTCCTCTGCTGTGACCCAGTGAGAGGAAGATTCCTGCTCTCTTTTACTGCAGCCTGTTTGGGACTGAACTGTGTCCCCAGGGTTCCTAAGTTAAAGGGCTGACCCCCAGCATTTCAGAATGTACCTGGAGATAAGGTTGTCAAAGAGGTAATTAAGTTAAAGTAAGGCCATTAGGTTTGGCCCTAGTTACATACAACTGGTGTCTTTAATAAGAAGAGGAGATTAGGACACAGACACACACACAGGGATGACTGTGTGAAGACGCAGGGGAAGGTGACCAGCCAGGGAGAGAGGCCTCAGAATGAAAACAACCCGGCCAACATCTGACTCTTGGACGTTTGGTCTCCAGAACTGTGAAGAAACAAATGTCCGTGGTTTAAACCACCCAGTCTGTGGTACTTTGTTATGGCAGTCCCAGGAAATTCATACACGGTCATTTCTTTCTTTCTAGAAGGCTGCAGCATTGGTTTTCTATTAAATCATTCTATTGAATTTATCACAAAAAGTAAGGTATTTTATAATCCAGTCCTTTTTTCTTACCTTTCAAGATTAATTTTATAGCGCTGGTTATTATCTGTAGTTCACCCTTACAATAATTCAATCAGTTATTTAAATATGTCATTCATTTATTCACTTCATTCTTTTATCCATCGACCCATTCACACATGTACCCACGCAGCCATCCATTCCTTTATTCACTCATCCATGCATCCCACCCACCCACCCGCATAGACATCGAGTCATCCATCGGCCCATTCACCCATCCACCCATTCAATCATCATTCGCCTATCCATCCATTCATCATCCACCCACCCATTTATCCATTATCCACCCACCCATCCACCCATTCATCCATCCATTCATCCATCCACTCATTCATTCATCCATCCATCCATTTATCCATCCATCCATCCATCATCCACCCACCCATTAATCACTCACACACATATCCATCCATCCATCATCCATTCACTCATCCATGCACCCACACATCCATCCATTCATCATCCATCCACCCACTCGTTCATCCACCCATTCACCCATCCACCCCCTCATCCATCCTTTTATTACTCACCCACCCATCCATCCATTCTTCATCCACCCATCTACTCATCTATCCATCCACTGATCAGTTTCTCCATCCATCCATCCATTCACCCATTCATCCATCTATCCACCCACCACCTCCCCGCCCATCCATCCATAATCAGAACCCACCCCACTCTCCCAGATTTCTTTCCACCCACCTTTTATCTCCCCCAGAACATTTCCTCATTATTTCAGCTTGTCAGGTGCCCTCTTCTGTTTTCTCACAGATTCACCCCCAAGATTCTAATAGGGAATGTCTCCCACTCCACAGAAATTAATTGCTTCTTTATCTTCCTAACTCAACTATAACTTTTACAAAGTTAGGAAGAACATCTTATTCATGTTCACACTTGTCAAGCACAGAACTTGACCCTAAAGAAGTTCTCAGTAATTATTTGGTTTATTCAAAAAGAAATATGAGTCATTTATTTTACTTAATAGAAGCAATATCCACTGGACGATATTCTAGATTAGGCTTCTTTTTAGACCTTTGTGGTTTTTTCTACAGTCACCACAATACAATCCCAAATCAGCTAGAAAGAAAACACGCATCCTTTCAAACTGTAATTTGGTCAAAACAACATTATTTCATTTTTAGTTTTGTTTTGTTGTTTCCCTAAATTGATTGACTTGGCTGGTTCACCCTACTGTAACCTGTGTCTCTAATTCAACAGGAACGCACATTGCATCATTTTCTGGGGAAGCTCAATGCCTGCAAGTTGGGAGCTGTTTAGTGATATTCACATCCTCCTCTAGAAATTACTTAAGTGTATTTACCGACCTTCACCACTCAGATTAGGGAAATCCACTTGGCAAGGGAAGCCATGCATTCTAATGTGTATAGATGCTAGGGCCTTTTATAGAAACTAACAATTTTGAACCTGATTGAAGTATTGGGCTTAAAAAAGTACCATTTTTTAAAATTTATTTTTCCAGGGCACCTGTGTTACATTTTGTTATCTTTTTGTGACTATTGTAAGACACAAAGAACTTAGCTTAGCCATCCTATTATCCACGTGAATATTGTCCACTAACCAGGTCCTTCTCTGCTTCCAGACATGGTCTGGCTTGGACCTGCCATGCCTGGCTTGCAGCCCCCATCACCCCTGAGCAAGACACAGCCCTGGGCCTCTGAGATGCTCTTGCTGGCCATGGCTCTGCCTTGTGTTTTACAGAGCTCATCGGCCTGAGGGCATCTTCCTCTCTATTAATCTCACTTAGGGTCACAACATGCTGTGAAACAAAGGACCAAATGCCATTCACAATATTACCCCTAGAAACTCCTTCAGGGACTGGAGTCATTTTCCTTTCAGTAATGTAAATACAAGCTCCTGTTCTGCCATTAGCAAGTGGAAGGTGAAGACTATGGGAGAGGCCAAGGGTTTGGAATGAGATGAGCTTGCACCTTAGACAGGATGTTTCTCAAAGGAAGGAAGTACTTGTTTGGACCAGATCATTATTTGAAAGATCATCAGCCTGGAGGGAACATGAGTATGTATTTAGTCCTCACCACACTGTTTCATAAATGTATTATGTGCAGGACAATGAAAAATTTATTTTGCTGCAGGTGGAGGTTGAGAGGCAGACACAGGCACTGGACATTGATGGAGAAGTGAGGGAAGGTGAGCAATGTAAGTATTGTGACTGCAAGGGTTTGTAAGGAAAATATGGCAACACAGACATGCAGCCCTCAAGACAAACGTTTCCACCGGGTTTACCAGTGGCTTTGATATCTGTTTATGTTAATATTGACAAATTGTATGTGTACTATTACTTTCCAAATACCCTTAGAAATACATTCAAGTCAGCAAAGTATCTTTCTAAATACCACTTTGTTCGTAAAGGAACTGAGATCTGTACCTGGGGAAAGTGCCAAAACCTGAAGTTTGTTACTGGCAGTTGTGGAATATTCTACTGGAACATTGAGAAAAGGGGTGTGTTATGGGGCTTGTGGAGACAGCTGAAAACTGGTGAAACATTTTTCAAAGTGCATCTCTGAATTGTTTCTCGAATTGACCAAGCAGATGTGTCCTTTGTGTAGTTGTCAATCTAACAAAAGCCAAATGTTTCATTTTCTTTCTTTTTAGAAATGGCACATTTATTTCTAAGAAGTCTTCCAAACTACCCCCTTTTCTTGTCTCTTAGCAGGTTGTTAGGTGATGCAGGCATTTCAGGAAAGTCACAAAGTTACTTGGTCATACCTCACCAAATATCAGTATTCTTAACACACAATATAAAACTGAGGCTATCAGAATATTTAATAAACCAGATGAGCACAACATCCTCTTAATGATCACTAATGTTTCCATTATCCCTTGTGGCAATTTAAATTCACTAAAATAAGAACAATCATGCAACCTTCTTTTTGGCTTACATCAAGGAAGATTCCATTTCTATGAAACCCACATCTTCAAGATTACACTGTAAAGACAAATTGAACTAAAACTTTGAAGATTTCTACACAAATGCAAAGAATTCAGATCTGGGATTCCATCTTTTATTCTAATGCATACTTGATCTGGTTGTATTCTGAATCCTCCTTACAGGAATGTGATGTGGACTGACACGTAATTTGGAAACTACTAGAAGGCTCTTGAATGGAACCAGGGATTCTTCACACTTCATAGAGCAGCTGAAAGGGACTTGAGCACTACTTGGGCCTTCTGACGCCAGAGTTACAGAATGTTCTTTTGCCAAATCATGGATGGCCACTCGAGCACACAGATATTCAGGATCCTCTTGTCCCCGTGTGCAGAGAGGCCTGGTGCTGGATATCGTTTATGTGAGTTGAGCGGATAGCTGAGGCTATGTGGATGCATGTAACTAGTTAGAGCATTTTACTAAGTTAATGACCGAAATCAGAGCTCTCAGGTCACTACTGGAATCAGCTCCTCTCCCTGTGAAGTAGTTAACTGTGGTCATGATCTGCCCTCTGCACTTCCCAGTTAATTGCACCTGCTTCCTGTTTTCACGTGGGGAGAGCATCCTCACCCAGCCTTGGAAGCACTGACATTCGAGTTGTGCGTGGGCTGTTGATGAATCCTGGGTCAGTGAGCTTAGCTGCCTAGGCAGGGTGGTAATTAGCGTACGGAGTTTTACAGGAGAATCTACTGCATAATTCATGAGGAAACTGAAACGCAAAAAAGATGTGTAGTTAAAGCCATGTGCTCCTGTGAGTGGGTGGGCACGTGCAGTCACTCTGCCTGCAATAGCAGAGGCGGAAGAGCCGCAGAGACCCGTGGGCTCAAGAAAAGTACATTCATTAATTAATTAATCTTATAACATAAAAACTTTTGATGTTCAATCGGCCTACTCAGACATTCCTCACCAAATAGAAGTAGGAAGGACACGGGGAAATGCAACTTTTCAATGAAGCATCCATCGGCAATTTAATGCCTTGTTTTGTCCACTTTTCCTTCTTGTGAAGAGTGTAATGTCGAAGTTAGAGCCACATCTCCACCTTTAGAAAGACGTGGCTGAAATGTCTGAAGGGCAGGAGAGGTGACCCTTGGTGAGAAGATGGCTCTTTGCTGATATAAGTCACCCCCGATGGCATGGGTCCCTGGTCAGGAGGCTGTTTTACATCCTTAGCTTGTAGAAACGCGAAGCACAGGGGAATGGTGTCCCCAGAGTCCATGAGAGGAGCTTCGCACAGGGACAGACTGCGGTCCCCAGAGTCCATGAGAGGAGCCTCACATGGGGACAGACTGCCGTCCCCAGAGTCCATGAGAGGAGCCTCGCACGGGGACGTGACTGCTGTCCCCAGATTCCAGACTCCTACCTCCTACTCAGAAAAACTGGAGCCATTAAAATGGTTACTGCTGAATGTGGAGCTTTTTGTGGTGTGAGAGAGCCCCATGTTTATTTCCTGAATTTCAATTAACAAAAACCCTCCTGTATTTGTCTTTAGTTTTATCTGACTCATATAAACTGGGAAATTACCTACCTGAGTTTGAACAAAGCTGAATAATTTTTCAAATTTTACAGGGGAATTTAATTAAGTTTGAATGACAGCATTTTATTTTCCAGATTTGTTTTAAAATGAATTGAGCTGTAATAAGAGTTGGAAGATAACACAGAGCTCCCAAACCTCCTTCACCCACCTGCTCAGTGTTAACTCTATGCACGGCCACAGCACAGCAACCAGGACCAGGGAGTGGACGTGGATCCAATGCTGGTGATTACATCTCAGAGCTCACCCTGGTATCCCCAGCTTTTCCATCTGCATCCTTTCCTCTTCCAGGATCCAGTCCTGGCACTGTGCAGCCCACGGCCGTCGGGGGTCATCAGGTCCCTGAGTCTCCTCTCATCCATGTTCATCTCTTAAAAAATAAACTTACAAATTTAAAAATACAAAAAACAGTGCGCGCACACACACACACACACATGCACGTGCACATACACACACAAGCCAGGCACCAAAAGACAAACACCTCATGATCTCCCTCCTATATGGAATCTAAAAGTGTCGAGCTCATGGAAGCAGAGAGTGGATGGTGGACACCTAGGGTTACGGGGCAGGTGCGGTGGGGGGCAGGTGTGGTGGGGGCTGGTGCCATGGGGGGGACAGGTGCCGTGAGGGGCAGAAAGATGCTGGTCAAAAGTGAGGGTTTCAGTTGCAGGATAAAAATGTTCTGGGATCTAATGTATAGCTTGATGACTATTGTTTATTTGAAAATCGCTAGGAGAATAGATATTAAATGTTCCTATCACACACACAAAAGGATGAATACGTGAGGTGCTGTATATGTTAATTAGCTTGATTTAATCACCCCACAGTGTTTACATGTATGAAAACATCATGTGAACATAAATATGTATAATTTGTATTTGTTAATGATAGCTTGATGAAGCTGGGGGCGAGGAAAACAAAAACTAAAAAGTGAATGGCAAGTAAAAAAGGCAACATCAGGCTGTAGTTTGAAGAACACAAGGCAGTCAGGCCCTGGCCACATGTCAGGTGAGTCAAGTGTGAGCCCACCCTGGATCCCTTTTCTGTTACAGTCACAGGCAAGGGCCTATTACAGGTGGTCCTGGGCCTCGGTTAGGGAGAGCCTCTTGTCTGTGGACAGAACACACGATGTCTGCAGGGAGAAAGGTGGCCTTTCTATGGAGACATCAAGCAAAATGTGTGATTTGCTGTTTCTCATGCATTGATCAAGGTATTCAGTAATCAGATTTCCCCAGGATATCAAATAGTTCATTGGCACTTGCCAAAAAATGGAAGCGTGCTTGTCTTCTCGGTGGGCCCGGGACTGGACCGCAGGGCTGGTGCCACTCCTTCACTGAGACCTGCTTGTAGCAGGGCCCTGCATTCCCCCATCCTGCCATGTGTGAGTTGGCTTCTTACTGTATCATGCGTTCCTTGCAGATTTCTGTCTTCTTTGGAGCTCCTTGATTTTTCTCATAATGGGAGAAGACGTGTATTTTTTTCTTTCCTTCTCATGGCTAAAACTGTCCTCTTTCTCACTGAGTCTCCCCTGCAATCTCTCTGCTCTCCATTGCTGGGTGGCCACGTCTTCCCAATGCTCCTTTCTGACAGAGACTGGGGGCTTCAGCCAGATCTTTAGTTGCCTCTCTTTCATTCTCCCATTATGTGATAGCCTCGGGTTTTCCACGTCCCCCTGCAGAAATCTTCCTTCCCAAGTCCCCCGTCTTCTTTCTCAAAAATGTGTGTGCTATCCAGTGGGCCTCCTGCAAACCCGCCATTCTCAGACTTTTCTCCGCTCCCCTCTCAACATTTCCAGTGTAACAGCTTCCATTGTACTTGATGCATTATTTATATTGTTTAATTAGTATTAAAATAAGCACATCATGTAATCCAGCTAAAATATGTATTTTCAAATGATAGATACATTTCTCATATTTGTGCGGGGTCAAATGGTAACAGCAACTTAGAGGAGAGGCTACAAAACGACCTGGAGAGTTGATGTGCCGGCTCGGCCTCCCCCAGCTGTGCATGCAAACCCCCTCTTCCCAGGTCTCCATCGGCACTCGGCATTTTCAAGCGTCCTTCTGTGATGAAAAGAGCATCCAGTCAGTATTTACTTTACATTTTAATGCTTTCTTCTTCAAACTCTTCCTTGAGTATTTGCCCCACGCTGTCTCATTTTACCACCCACCTTTCTGGCTGTGTGAATTTCCTGCGAATGCCTTAACAAAGGGCCACGTGCTTAGTGGCTTTACTCCATCAGCTCCGGAGGTCATAGATCCAAATGAGACTTTTGGCAGCAAGGTCCAGGGACAGGCCTGGTTGTGCCTGGAGACCCCAGAGGCCCTGCTCCTGGCCTCCTCCAGTTTCTGGAGGCTCATGGCCACGGCCCTCCAGTCTCAGTTTCCATCATCACTTCCCCCTTTCTCCCCTCAGACTTTCCCACCTTTGTCTTGTAAGGAGCTGTGTGCTAACACTAAGGCCAGTGGATAATCCAGGCTAATCTCCCCTCCTCAAAATCTTAACTGAATCCCATCTGCAAAGCCCCTTTTGCCATGCAGGTTGCAGTCACAGGCTGGGGGACTGTGTCCCCTAGACGCTGGTGCTCTGAGCTACTCTTGAGGTCTTTTCCATCCACATTCTCCCAAGAAGAATCCCATTCACTCACAGTCCACTACTGTATCCCCCCTCAGGACTCCCAAATGTGTCTTTTTAAGCTGGACTTCACCCAACAGCTGAAAGTACATTTCCAAATGCCCAAGAGCTCACTGCCCGCCTGTGCCACGGGCACCTCCAACACAATTCCAAGCCTGAGTCTGCTGCTCCTTTGCTTGTCACAGCCAGTCTCCTTTCTTCTCTGGCCTTCCTAGGGCCAGTACATGAGATTTTCACTTGCTTAGGCATCAAACCAAGGATGGCTGAATCCTCAGAGGCTCTGTGCTTTTCTTCTGTTCCCAACAGTAACTCATCATTGAGCCATGGAATCCTCTTTAATGAGCCACCGAGTCTGGTCCTTCCTCTCTATCCAAACCCCACCCTCCTAGTGACCATTCTCAGGGTGCGTGGGGGGATTATATCACTGTTGGCTGATCTCCTCCCTGCTCTTCAGAGCTTGTCTAACTCATTTGTTATCTTCACCCATTTGAGGGGTGAGTGATGAGGATTGAGGGGAGAATGTTAAAGGCAAATCATCACATTCTTGGGCTTCAGAACATCTTCTAACAAAGATTAATGTTCTGAAGCCTTTGCATCGTGTTTTAGCATTTGGTTTCAAATTACCTAGAGGAAGCATCAGTCACATTTGGAGAGGGGAAAGAAAAGGAGAAAGATGAAGATGATTTTCACAAACTAGAAACCCATAGGACTTCCGGGGGCATGAAGAGGCTCCAAGTCTCAGGAGCGGGTCATTGAAGATGTGTTATTTTATCATTTTCATGATGAGATACAGCCTGAAAGCAGATCACCCATGAAAACATGTCATCTCCCAGTGTTCGGAATGCAGTCATGGTGACCTTCCTACAGAACATCTCTGTCTTTGTGGGGACTCTTTTGATGGGTGCATGATGAGGATTGAGGGGAGAATGCATGCTGGTGAACACACACTGAACTGTGCTCATTTTTCACCTCAACAAATTGGAAAAAAGTGTACTTTATTCACCTCTTAGTGATAAGAAAACTAGGGGCTTGGGGACAGGAAGCAAAAGGCTCAGAGTTGTAGAGCGAGTCATCGGTGGGCCTGGGAGCTGCACCCAACCCAATCCTCGGAAGATTAACAGCCCCTTTTTCACAGGGTATTTAACTGTGAAAGTAAGAGGGAGGAAAATGCAAGTGTCACAAGTCTGGATTTAGTTGGTTTATTCTTTCTCCCTGTATAATTTTTCCCCTCTTCTTCCTAACTCATTCGGCCAGAGGCTGGACTGCATGTGGACCCCGATGACATGGCACTTTGTTTCTGACCAGTCAGGACACACAAGAGGCCCGGCGCAAACACAACAAAGCCCGCAGACATTCTGTCCCCACGAAGAACGGACGCCACTCGACTTCCTAGCATCTTGACGGGCTATCCAAGCGCAGAGTCAGTTTATAAGGTGGGTAACCAAGTCCCTGGAAGGCAATTGAGGCGCCCATTTCAGAAGAGTTACAGCCGTGAAAATTACTCAGCAGTGCAGTTGGCTGAGAAGAGGAAAAAAGGTCAGGTTGTAAAGCTTTTTATTTTTCCATTTTCTAAGAGAAATTCATCATTGGAACTTGTAAAGTGGCCCAAGAGTGGCTGTAATTTGGGCCATTATAGCAGGTATGGGTGGCGTCTCTCAGCAAAGCTGACTGACTGACTGATGAGTGCTGTTTGCAATGACCTCCGCTGGAACATGTGAGTCCTGTAGGGTCGATTCCTAGATCACCGTCTACTGAGACACATTCCTGTCAGCATGGACTCACTGGTGCTATCCTGCTTAACAAAATTAGTGGCTCAAAAATAGCCACAGAAAGCCTAAGAGAAGAAAACAAGGATTTGAAAGTAGAAATGATGAATTTTGAATCTTCTGTTTTGTCTTAACAACTAGAATTCTAAAATCATTTTATGGACATAAGAATGCTTTAAGAAATTCAATAGGCATTTAGGGGTTTTATTTATCACTTTTATAAAGACTAAATTTCTAATAGTACTCACTTTTTGCCACATAGATGCATTAGGGGAAACAGATTTTTTTCATTCCCAATAATTATTCCCAGTACTGTTACACTATTTGACATTACCAAAAATTTAAATAGGTTATTACTGAGATATATTGGCAACTGGAGCTGCCAACATAAAAACTCTGTTTTTGAATAATGGGGGCCTGGGAGGCCTGCTCAGCGCTGCAGTTTCTGTAACCTCCTGACATGGACGGCGACTCTGGTCTCGCAGACCCCAGGCCTGTGAGGGTCGCTCACTGCGGTAGAGGCTGCGTGGAGTCAGTGGAGGGAGCCCCTCAGCAGGGAGACAAGGACACAGCGGTTCCCATGGCCTTGTCAGTGCTTGATTACATACTCTGTCTCCTTCCGTTAATTTTAGAATGAGAGCGCTGGCTGTGCTGTCTGTCACGCTGGTTATGGCCTGCACAGAAGCCTTCTTCCCCTTCATCTCGAGAGGGAAAGAACTCCTTTGGGGTAAGTAGCAAACACATTGCGGTCTTCTGGCCTTATAAAGTTATTTTTCACACTTACTAAAATAGAGGGCATAATGGTAGCTCCTGAGAGTCACTTTAGGCCCCTGTAGTGTATGCTTTGTTATGCTTAAGAAAAAAAAATTGTAATTCTTGATTTTAGAAGGATTGAAATATGTACATTTCTTTCTTTAAAAAAGAGCTGATTTTCCTTGGATGACACAATAGACAATTTTCACTTTTACCTATTCATATAACTGAAAAAAAAATTCTTTGGGAGTGTTTTTCTTCCTTTGCTACAGAATTATTTTTTATTAAATAACTTCTGTGATGTATTTTCTGGAATCAGTGTGCTACTATGTGAAAACAAGTTAAGAAAGCTACTGAGATGCAGTGGTTAAAATAATCACAGATCAAGCTCTTTGCTTTTCTTTTAATAAAATAAATAAAGTTCCAAACCCTGAGAACAAGTTTCACTGGAGTGAATACTGCAGGGGCATTTGCCTGGACATTTTACCCCATGGACACCGCTGGCCCCGGGAGCAGGTGACACCTCGCTGGGCAGGTCCCTGGGCCTCTGCACACAGTCCCGGGGCCCCTGGAGCAGGTGACACCTCGCCGGGCAGGTCCCTGGGCCTCTGGACACAGTCCCAGGGCCCCTGGAGCAGGTGACACCTCGCCGGGCAGGTCCCTGGGCCTCTGCACACAGTCCCGGGGCCCCTGGAGCAGGTGACACCTCACCGGGCAGGTCCCTGGGCCTCTGGACACAGTCCCGGGGCCCCTGGAGCAGGTGACACCTCACTGGGCAGGTCCCTGGGCCTCTGCACACAGTCCCGGGGCCCCTGGAGCAGGTGACACTTCGCCGGGCAGGTCCCTGGGCCTCTGGACACAGTCTCGGGGCCCCTGGAGCAGGTGACAGCTCACCGGGCAGGTCCCTGGGCCTCTGCACACAGTCCCGGGGCCCCTGGAGCAGGTGACACCTCGCTGGGCAGGTCCCTGGGCCTCTGCACATAGTCCCGGGGCCCCTGGAGCAGGTGACACCTTGCCGGGCAGGTCCCTGGGTCTCTGGACACAGTCTTGGGGCCCCTGGAGCAGGTGACACCTCGCTGGGCAGGTCCCTGGGCCTCTGCACATAGTCCCGGAGCCCCTGGAGCAGGTGACACCTTGCCGGGCAGGTCCCTGGGTCTCTGGACACAGTCTTGGGGCCATGGCACAGCACTGGCACCTCTGCCCTCACCAGCCTTTCCCAGGACTGGAGGCCTTGTCTGTCGTTCAGGGTCACAGAATCTGGAGTCCTCGCTGTTCCCAGCCACACCCAGCCCAGCCTCCTGCTGGGGGCCACATTTTACCCCAATTTTTCTGCATCTCAGGACTTCACAACCATATTAGGAGTGGCAGTGAAGTCCATAACAGACTCGTAGGCTCCTTAAAAAAACTCTCCCTCCACAGCCCCCAGGACTTCCTGGTCACTGCCCGCTCTGAGATCAGGGAAGCCGTGGGGCCTCTCCCTGCCAGCTTCCATCCATGCCCCAAGGATGGGCTACTCACCCCTAATTCCTGTCCCTCCCCTGCAAATGGAGAACACTGGAAAATTACTCATCGCAGTCATTATTTGTGAGCAAGAATGAGATACTTCATTTAAAGCGGTGAATGCAGTACCTCGGCAATCACCAAAAAACAAAAAATAAAAATGGAGTCACAATATAAAGAACCTCAGGAAAAAGTGATTTTGCATCTTCCCAGAATAAATCAGTCACTCTATCACCTGGAACATGCTAGATGTTCAGCCAATGGTTTGTAAATTAATTACTTTGTTATTTTATTTCATATTTAGTAGGACCTGGTTGTATAAAACCAGAGTAAAACATGTTAGAAGTCAAGAGCTAGTTCTGAGCAAGTTGTGATACATGAGAGCTATTCAACAAAATATTTAAAACTTTGTAACATGTTTTTTAATTTTAAAAATCACATTTAAAAAGCCATCAGGAATGCAGTAGCCACAGCTTTTGCTAAAACAGTTTTTAAAAATTATTTTTCCATATCTGGGAGATTTGACCTTTTCGTTTTGCTTAAACTTTTGGTTGACACATCACGAGTGCACAGGACAGCAGCTGACAACTGCCCCGCGTGCTGGGCACATGCTTCTGCCTGCTCCAATATTTCAAAGCTGACTTATTGTTTGCTTGAAATGTGAATGAGTTACTGAAAAAATATTATGTGTCTCACAGTATTTCTATTTTACAGCCTTTAATAGTTGTTTTGCAGCTTTAAATCTGTTTGGAAAATGATGCCCAATGACTGTGTGTGGGTTTATGTCACCTGTGCTCACAGACATGTGAAGCAAAAACCTTGGCCTGCTCCCCAGCCTCTGTGCAGGACAAGCCAAAGAGCAGGCAGCGGCAGGGCCAAGAGGATCCAGGCTCCCCCTGGACCACACACGGTCACCGTAAGCACATGGTGCTCCGGGGGGTCCTGCTTGGTGGGTGGCTCACCCTTATGTGTCAGGCACCCATTTTATAGATCAAAACGTAGAGGTCTGGAAGTCTCAGAAGCAGCAAGGCTGTGGCCGCTCAGTCTCACAGTCTCACGTCCCAGGTCTTTACAGAGAACCAACACACATCCTCATACTTGAAGCTCGATGATAAGTACTCAGCGAAAAGTATCAGGCCAGTGCCGTGACTCACATCTGCAATCCCAACACAGTATCATCAGGCCAGTGCCGTGACTCACATCTGCAATCCCAACACAGTATCAGGCCAGTGCCGTGACTCACATCTGCAATCCCAACACAGTATCATCAGGCCAGTGCCGTGACTCACATCTGCAATCCCAACACAGTATCAGGCCAGTGCCGTGACTCACATCTGCAATCCCAACACAGTATCAGGCCAGTGCCGTGACTCACATCTGCAATCCCAACACAGTATCATCAGGCCAGTGCCGTGACTCACATCTGCAATCCCAACACAGTATCAGGCCAGTGCCGTGACTCACATCTGCAATCCCAACACAGTATCAGGCCAGTGCCGTGACTCACATCTGCAATCCCAACACAGTATCATCAGGCCAGTGCCGTGACTCACATCTGCAATCCCAACACAGTATCAGGCCAGTGCCGTGACTCACATCTGCAATCCCAACACAGTATCATCAGGCCAGTGCCGTGACTCACATCTGCAATCCCAACACAGTATCAGGCCAGTGCCGTGACTCACATCTGCAATCCCAACACAGTATCAGGCCAGTGCCGTGACTCACATCTGCAATCCCAACACAGTATCATCAGGCCAGTGCCGTGACTCACATCTGCAATCCCAACACAGTATTAGGCCAGTGCCGTGACTCACATCTGCAATCCCAACACAGTATCAGGCCAGTGCCGTGACTCACATCTGCAATCCCAACACTTTGGGAGGCCGAGGCGGGAAGATCACTTGAGGCTAGGAGTTCAAGACCAGCCTGACCAACATGGCAAAACCCCATCTCTACTAAAAATACAAAAAAAAATTAGCTGGGCGTGGTGGTGCCCACCTGTCATCCCAGCTACTCGGGAGGCTGAGGCACGAGAATCAGTTGAACCCAGGAGGTGGAGGTTGCAGAGTCGAGATCACACCACTGCACTCCAGTCTAGGTGACAGAGTGAGAATCCATCTCAAAAAAAAAAAAAAAAGAGAGAGAGAGAAAAAAAGAAAAGCATCAGTCCTGGATAGAGTTTAGGTTGTATCAACTTGCCTGCAAACTGTAGGAAGGTGAGAATAAGAAGGGAAAGATCTTGGCTGGTGCTCAGACTGGGTGGGTGCAGGAGAGACTCTTGTTCCAGGGCAGGATCCCCTAGGGTCAAAGCACAAAGAGAAATAAACTTCAGCACCTGAAAATTCTGTAATAAGAGTCTTTGAAAATGGAAAAAAAATCTATGCTTGACCATTGTTGTCTAAGAGAAGTTTGCTATCAATCCCTCCTCTAACGCCCTGAACAGAATGTTCTTCACCAGAACCCTGTGTATTCATCACCACACAGGCTGAGAGGCATTCCAGCATTTGTGCAACATCAAGATTTATGTGCAATTATCTTTATGGCAAATGTTCCACAAGTTATAGCTGTTAAAAGAAAATAAGATGCAAATGAACAAGAAGAAGCAGAGGCGCTGCCTGCAGCCTGGGAAAATTTGGGAAGCTAGCCTAATGAGTGAATTTGTTTTAAAAGGAAAGTTGGCAAACCTTATTCCAGTTCATTAAATTTCAACAAACAGCAAGGATTAAAGTAAGAATCAACACACAACTCTAAACAGGAATCAAGCGCTTAGAATTAGGAGCAAAGCTCTGGCCCTGGGGGCTTATGGTTTTGGAGAAGAAAGATTTTGGCTTTCATATATATATTTAACATAAACAGCCTTTGGAACAAGGCAACTTCCTTCTTCTTTCTGAAATGTGGTATGTTCTTGCCTAATGTGTCCCTGAATTCCACCTCTTTTATGAACAATATGAATATGCATAAAGGAGAATTTGGGGGAACCGTGCCATGCGCCCCTCAGAGCAGGAGCAATCTTGAGAAGGCGCAGGCAGAGAGCAGCGGGCGGCTTCTCCAGAGCAAGTAATTAAGTCCCGTGACTCCCTAGAACTCAGTGTTCAGTTCTGAAAAAAAACTTCGGGTTCAAACTCCCTAAGTCTATGGTCCTTGCATCAGACGCCTCTTCCCTGGGATTGCTGGGAACTGAGGAAGGAAGGGCGCTGCAGAGCTAACGATAGCAAGGGGCTCAGAGCTGGCCACCCCAGCTCCCTGGTGGCAGGAGAGCTAATGTGAGCTGATGGAAACTGAGAAGCAGCAGATAAAGGAAAAGCCATCTGCCCTGCCTCTATTGCCTAAAAGTAGAACATAAATCCGCAAAAGTGACCATTTCCCTCTCCAACAGAAAGGACAGAAATTCATCACCAGGGACCCCAGGCCCTCAACAGCCTGGAACCAGCCCCAGAGGCATTTGTGTGGCAAACCTCTGCAGCCCCGGCCTCCCTTCCTGTAGTTGCCCCAGAGAGGCCTCCTCAAAACGTGTTTCCTGGGAACTCAAAGTCCTTTGCTTTGGTCTTGCAGCTTCTTGGAAAACGATTGTTCTTTTGCTGAGGGGCTGTGCAGCAGAGTTCTAACGATCCATTCGAGTTTCCATCTTGGGGCGCTCAGGGGGCTCCCTCGTGGAAGCAGGAGTCCAGGCTAATAACCCCTGTGAGTTTTCCTCCTGTGACTCTGCCTTTTGTCAGTCTAATTTCAATGCCCCAGAAAATTAATCTAAGATGCAGGGAGAGAAAAGGTTTCTTCTTCCCCTACAGATGGATGTCAGTCATCTCTATTCAGCCAAGAAGTAGTTAACCTAAACAATGAAAACACCACCGGTTCCAGTAGAGACTTGAGACTATCTGATGAGAGTTATGTGTCTCTGGGAGGAAGTTTTCAATACAGAAATGGATTTATTTTATGAAACTTAAAAGACTAATAATCTGCAAGCCTATAAGAATGTTTTAATTCTGTAAAATATTTTACAATAAGAAAAGAAACTAGAGACTAAGCAACATATGATCAGTTAAACTTGAATAACAATATATTAATATTGGTCAATAACAAGGAATGATCTCTCTAGTAACTGCCGTTTCCAAGCATAGTAGAGAAGGATAAGCATGTTTCTTTATATTTAATCAGTTGGTTCTTAAATAATTGTCAAGTGCCTGCTGAAAACCAGCCTTTGGTCTTGGTCGTGAATAGCGCAGAACTTTGCAGAGCCCTGAAGAGACTCTCAGTGATAGGATGCATATACACAGGTGGTGTGAGTGACAGAGCTAATTTTTTTTCTGGTACCTAAAGATCAGCAGGATCAAAATTTCATAAAGGAAGAGCTGGGAGCTTGAGATTGACAATTTCATGAGATGAAGGATAAATTGTGCGTTACCTCCACAGCTCTGCAACATGGAGATTGGTCTTGGGCAGGTGGTGGACGTCCTGGATTCTGAGGAAGACCTGCACGCAATTCAGTGGGCATCAGGAGCCTTCAGATGCTTTCATCAAAGGCACAGGCACAAGCAGGCCTTGGTTTAGAAAGGTCACTTGGGTGACAGCAGGAGGGACAGAAGGATGGTGGGGAGATCAGTGCAGGAGCCAGTCAAGAGCTCCTTCTACTAAGGCAGTAGAAAGTGAGACTGACAACGGCCAGGCAGGAGCAGAACGTTCTCCCAGAGACATTATGGGGAAATTCACACCACATGGTGAGTGAAAGGCAAGGAAAGCCACGGCTGGGCTTCTTGCTTGGGGACTTGAGCTGGTAGGGTGGTTATTTCAGGCTGTTAACACCCCTCAACAGGGAACAGAGGAGGATGGCGTGACTCAGGAGAGAAGTTCAAGTGGAAAACGGGCGTTTGGGAGAGGACCAAAGGAGGGTGAGAGGAGAGGGCAAAGATCAGAGGAGCCAGAAATGCACCCGAGGTGACACTCACAGGAGGGAGACCATGGAGAGAAGAGAGCCACAGTGACCGAGGCTGAGAGAGAGAGTGGCCAGAGACTGAAAGCAAAAGGCACGACGGCCGGGAGCACTGAACGCTTGCCAGGCCCTGGACCAAAAGCCGTGCAAACCTCTCTGTAAAACCATCCTAAGACGTAACTCTGTGCACTTGCCAGGCCCTCAGCCCAGAGCCGTGCAAACTTCTCTCTTCAGAGCACACTTGCGAGGCCCTCGGCCAAGAGCTGTGCAAACTTCTCTCTAAAACCATCCTAAGATGTAACTCTGCAGCTAGGAGAGAAAACCGCGCCAGGTGAAGTGAGCTGCCGCGTCACTCGGAGATTGATTTGTCTCACTCCAGAGCCCATGGCCGTCACCCCTCTGCCACTTAAGAATGCCGGCAACATCCCAAAAGCACCAGAGTCCTGGGGAGGTGGGGGGCGGGGCTGGTTACTGCATTTGGCAAATAAGCGGTCGTGACTGACCACAGAATACAAAATGTGAGTTGAGTTGCCTGGGCAGTTGCAGTGGGTTTAGAAGGAAATAAGAGGAAAATAAAGGAAAATTCCAGGTGTCTTATATCTCAAGCTTTTGTGGGAACAGGAGGTTCCCTGATTCTTGAGAGCTGAAAGAAATCTCCATAAAGCCCGGAATGCTGGTCCTTGAGGTCCACACCTGCCACCGATCCTGCGACGCCCAGGCCGCCCCTCCCCTCTCGGCTCCTACTCACTCTTGGTGGCATCGTCCCACATTGCACTGTCCCCAGCACGCACACATTGGCGTAAAGCCAGGTCCCCTCTTCAGATTCCACACCCAGAGCCTGCAGCTCTGACGGCTGTGCTGGGGGTCCCCGGCGAGCTGTGAGCCCGTGCTAGGTGTTCCTCCCTCCCTCCTGCCCTTGCCCCAGGGAGCCCCACACCGGGGGGCTCTGTTCATTGCTCTCTGCCCAACCCTGAGGGGTCACCCTCTGCCCCAAGTGCTTAACCACTGGTTACTCATCCCAGAACCCAAGAGAGATCCAGCACGGAGGTTTTCTTAACTTTGCTGTATCACACTGTAAGAAACTGGGTGGCCAATGGAACAGACGGAGCAGGGCAGAGTGAGCAGGAAGAAATGATGCTGGGGAATTTGTGTGCTCCTTGGGTGGGGACGAGCATGGAAGGCGCGTGGGACTGAAGCCTTGAAGACCCCGCAGGCGCCTCTCCTGGACCGACCTCGTGCAGGCGCCGCGCTGGACTGACCTCGTGCAGGTGCCGCGCTGGACAGACCTCGTGCAGGCGCCTCTCCTGGACAGACTTCGTGCAGGTGCCGCGCTGGACCGACCTCGTGCAGGCGCCGCGCTGGGCCATGGGGAGAGCGAGAGCCTGGTGTGCCCTTCAGGGACTTCTATTTGCTTTTAGGAGCCAATTCATTCCTTTGGTGAAGTATTGATGCTACGCAGGTGAATTTAGTAACAGGACTGACGTGTGAACATGGCCGGAAACACTTGCCGTCTTCCTGTTACCGCGTCCGGAACTTCACGTTGATACCCAGAAATGGGATCTTAACCTCTTACACATTCCAGGTGCTAAAACAAATAACACAGGAGTGCTTTCATTGGAAACTACTGGTATAGTGGAATTATTTTATCTTTTATTAAGTACACAAGATAGGCAAATCTTATCAACTTTACCACTGGCTCAGGTAACCAGTGATGAATGTTCAGAACAAAAGTTATTCGGAATCATTTGAAGTGGTTTGGGCAAGTGCGAAATTAAGGTGAGTAGCTCTGATCCCATCCTCCAGGCAGCTCCGTGCAGTGGGGGTGGACGCCCCTCTGTAGCGGGGAAGTGAAGGCCTGTGGAGGGAAGCGACCCCGGGACCTGGCTGCCTGCCTGTCCCGGAAGCCACGTGGGCATCACCGCAGCAAGATGGGCTTGAGGAACAAAGCAACACTGTCAGTGAATCGCTGAACTGTCATTGCACTTTGACTGTGTGACATTCTGTTCCGTAGGAAAGCCTGAGGAGTCTCGTGTCTCTAGCGTCTTGGAGGAAAGCAAGCGCCTGGTGGACACCGCCATGTACGCCACGATGCAGAGGTGAGCCTTGCGGAGGGGCCGCCGCCCCAAATGCCACCGACAGGCGCATCCTCCCTGACATCCACACACGTGTGGCCTGATTTTCGCAATTGCAGATGAAAACCTGAAGCTTGCCATTGTTAATTTACTTCCCCAGTGTCATGTGCAAGCAGCAGACAGAACTGGTATTTAATCTCCAATCCTTTCTTAAGCAAGACACAAAGGAAGAGCACCCTGATGCAATTAGCAATTACGTATACCCTGGTTAAAAGACAGTAGAGGCTGACGTCCTGATAGCAAAACCAGCCTCTCTTCTCCAGGATTAGGACAGATTAAGGAGGAAAAGAGAGACCTAGATCCCAGATCTTTGGTGTTGTGATATAACTGTAACATTACCTGTGGCATAGAATAAAGAATTAAATGGGGCTCTCCCCCATTTTTGAAATAATTAGCATTTGTAATTATATAACAGACACCACTATTAAGAATATTGTGGTCTCATATTACCTGTCTAGAAAAAGAAAAGAAAAACAAAAAACAAAAAACCTGTAAAGCAGTTTGCCCTCCCAAGCTTATTATTTTGTAGGAAGTTGACTAATAATTATATAAGTTCTTGAGATACAAAATATCAAAAGACAGCAGTTAATTTATTCCAAATTTCTATTATTCCAGCCAGAAAAATACCTTACTGTTCATACTGGCTGCAAACAAATTATTATTTATTTTCTAAAAATTGAATCAAAGGGAAAAGAAAGAGAAACACTATTTCTCATAAACTCACGCACACTTTAATATGTCTAAAATGGGCAGGAATTCCTGGGGAAGACATGGCAGTGGGGGTGGATACCAAGTGCGTAGTAAGAAGTGTGTGCTGCTCTCTTAGTAACAATTTGTGAACCCAAGTATCTAAGACAGATCTCAGTCAATTTAGAACGTTCATTTTAACAAGGATAAGGATGCACCCGTGACGCAGTGTCAGGAGGTCCTGAGGACATGTGCCCAAGATGGCTGGGGCACAGCTTGCTTTTACACATCTTAGAGAGACATAAGACATCAATCAATACGTGTCAGATTTACATGGTGGGGAGCTTCCAGGTCATAAGTAGATGTAACAGTTTTCTGACTGACAATCAGCTGAAGGAATTATTATCAGTAGGACGGAATGTCTGGGTTATGTTAAGGGGTTATGGACACCAAGGTTTTATTGCTTCACAGAGAAGAGATGGTGAATGTTTCTTATCAGACTTAAGGTCTGTGTTGATGTTGATGCTGGAGGGGTAGAAGGAGGTGTGTCTGACCCACCACCTTCCATCGTGACCTGACCCAGCTTTTCAGGCTAACTTTGGAATGCTCTTGGCCGAGAGGTGGGATCCACTCAGGTGGTTAGGCGAGGACATTAGAATTTTATTTTTGGTTTACAAATTGCATGTTAACAGAACCCTTTTGAAATCAATGCCTTGATCCTAAGGATGCATTAGAGTGAGGGAAGACCAGGAGAGGCATCAACTGGGGAGACTATTGGAAAGATTTGCCTTTTGATAGCTCTCAAAAAAATACACTATACTATACACCTATTCCAACTATGTTTCTTTCCTTAAGAAATACTGTTTCTACTGTGGAACAGTCATTGTTCTAGATGCCGGGATACAGAGATGAGTTCGATCATTTCATATCCTCAGAAGTCCGTGCTCCTTCTGTAAAGTCATTGTTCTAGATGCCGGGATACAGAGATGCGTTAGATCATTTCATATCCTCAGAAGTCTATGCTCCTTCTGTAAAGTCATTTTTCTAGATGTTGGGATACAGAGATGAGTTTGATCATTTCATATCCTCAGAAGTCCGTGCTCCTTCTGTAAAGTCATTGTTCTGGATGCTGGGATACAGAGATGAGTTTGATTATTTCATATCCTCAAAAGTCTGAGCTCCTTCTATGCAGTCATTGTTCTAGATGCCGGGATACAGAGATGAGTTAGATTATTTCATATTCTCAGAAGTCCGTGCTCCTTCTGTAAAGTCATGTTCTAGATGCCAGGATACAGAGATGAGTTCGATCATTTCACATTCTCAGAAGTCTATGCTCCTCCTGTAAACTCATTGTTCTAGATGCCGGGATACAGAGATGAGTTAGATCATTTCATATTCTCAGAAGTCCATGCCCGTTCTGTGCAGTCATTTTTCTAGATGCCGGGATACAGAGATGCGTTAGATCATTTCATATTCTCAGAAGTCCGTGCCCCTTCTGTAAAGTCATTGTTCTAGATACCGGGATACAGAGATGCGTTAGATCATTTCATATCCTCAGAAGTCCGTACTCCTTATGTAAAGTCATCGTTCTAGATGCCGGGATACAGAGATGAGTTTGATCATTTCATATCCTCAAAAGTCTGAGCTCCTTCTATGCAGTCATTGTTCTAGATGCCAGGATACAGAGATGCATTAGATCATTTCATATCCTCAGAAGTCTATGCTCCTTCTGTAAAGTCATTGTTCTAGATGCTGGGATACAGAGATGAGTTATATCATTTTCTATCCTCAGAAGTCTGTACTCCTTCTGTAAAGTCATTGTTCTAGATGCCGGGATACAGAGATGCGTTAGATCATTTCATATCCTCAGAAGTCTATGCTCCTTCTGTAAAGTCATTGTTCTAGATGCCAGGATACAGAGATGAGTTCGATCATTTCATATCCTCAGAAGTCTGTGCTCCTTCCGTAAAGTCATTGTTCTAGATGCCGGGATACAGAGGTGAGTTTGATCATTTCATATACTCAGAAGTCCATGCTCCTTCTGTAAAGTCATTGTTCTAGATGCCAGGATACAGAGATGAGTTCGATCATTTCATATTCTCAGAAGTCCGTGCTCCTTCCATAAAGTCATTTTTCTAGATGCTGGGATACAGAGATGAGTTTGATCATTTCATATCCTCAGAAGTCTATGCTCCTTCTGTAAAGTCATTGTTCTAGATGCCAGGATACAGAGATGAGTTCGATCATTTCATATCCTCAGAAGTCTGTGCTCCTTCCGTAAAGTCATTGTTCTAGATGCCGGGATACAGAGGTGAGTTTGATCATTTCATATACTCAGAAGTCCATGCTCCTTCTATAAAGTCATTGTTCTAGATGCCAGGATACAGAGATGAGTTCGATCATTTCATATTCTCAGAAGTCCGTGCTCCTTCCATAAAGTCATTTTTCTAGATGCCGGGATACAGAGATGAGTTTGATCATTTCATATCCTCAGAAGTCCATGCTCCTTCTGTAAAGTCGTTGTTCTAGATGCCGGGATACAGAGATGAGTTCGATCATTTCATATCCTCAAAAGTCCATGCTCCTTCTGTAAAGTCATTGTTCTAGATGCCGGGATACAGAGATAAGTTAGATCATTTCATATTCTCAGAAGTCCATGCTCCTTCTGTAAAGTCATTGTTTTAGATGCCAGGATACAGAAATGCATTAGATTATTTCATATTCTGAAAAGTCCATGCTCCTTCTGTAAAGACAGACACCTGAAGAAGGCACTTCATTTAGGGATGAATTTATTAGATCATCAGGGAACATGATGGTTTGTTGGTTGGAGAACTGACTTACTTTGAGTAAAAGTTTTAATAATAATAAAATACTTTTATCCTTCAAAACACATCTAGTTACTTTAGAGCCAAAAAGGAAAAAAAATAACTTTTCTAAATAAGAATATCCAAAACTAGAGTGTGCCTAAATCATTTCTTCCACTCACTCATGGACAGTGGTATGGCCCTAGGCTTTTGGAAAGTGATAGGAAAGCACAGAGCCTGCCTACGGAAGTGTTTACGAAAAGGGAGAGTCTGAGACCACCCTACCCCCTCATTCATCACTTCACTTACCTGGGTAGCATGGGGCCAGGGACAAAGGGACTTTGCTCCCAAGGTAGATGGGGCCAGAGTTTTAGTGTTTACGCTCATTCCCTGAGACCAGCTCCCATAGAGCAATGGAAAGGAGACCAGGGCAGGCTGCACACAGAAGGGGCCACATCTGGGGAGGGGGACCCTGTGCCTGGGGACCCAGATCTTTATGATGTGCAGTGAGCTTGCCGGCCCAGGCTCTGGGGAAGAGCATCCCTGTTTGACTGGAGAGTGCAGTGTGTTCTGAAGGAAGATATGATGTCCAGGGAGGCAGGGGAGGGTTCTGGGGCCTGCGGCCCAGGCTGCATCAGCAACCAGGTTCACCTGCAGCAGCCAGACCCTGTGAGGGAGGCAGGCATTGTGTCTGGGCCACCTGGCCAGGTGTGGCTGGTAGTGAGTGGCCCCATGAGTGTGTGGGGGTGAGGGTGAGTGTGCCCTTGACCTGGCAGGCACCCCTCGGACAGGGCAGTGTGCTTTTCTCCCACCATGGCAAAGAGCGGGCACTGCAGATCTGCTCCCTCCACCTGCCGTGAGAGTGGGAGCAACTGTCTCCCTTTCTCCGCTTCATAATTTTATAATTTCGGCATGGACAGAAGAAGCGTCTGCATGAGGAGGCTGTGGGTCCGGGAGACCAGAGGCCGAGGAACCAAATGCTCCCATCAGTCTCAGTTGCTCACCCCATGATCTGTCTGGGCTCACACTCCTTGAGCAGTAAATTCATTCCCTTTTAGCATTCAGGGACCATTTCCAATATTTACAATTTGCTGTGAGTTCCAGGGTGTATTCAGCCTGGAATATCTGCATCTAGATTGGTGATACCATTTGAGTCTGTTTACTGTTCACGGTGAAACACTCTGGGCATTACTGGGATGACAGACAGAAGAGCTAAAGGAGTGTTATTATTTAATCAAATGAAGCTATTGGATGATGTCCCCAAACCGAGAGCGATCCAGAGAATTCGTGGGAACATACATTTGATGCATGGCTCTGTGTGGGCTCTTCACATTAAGAATGCGAAACCAGCTAGAGTCAAAGTTTCCCTAATTTGAGTTTGATTTTCAGATATTTTGCTGCAATTAAGAGCCTGAAAGTGTCACCTATTAATACCTTGCTTATGTTCTGAAGCTGAGGTCTTAAAGTAACATGCAGCCCTGGGCTGGGCTGCAAACTGTCTGCATTCGGAATGACCCATGGCTGGGGCCCCTGGGAAATAGCAGCAGATGAACAGAGCAGACTGTGGCTTGTGGGGTGGTTGAAGCACCTTTCCAGGCTCTCCTGAACTGAGCTCCCCACAGGCTGGGCTCTGCAGAACATGGACATGACGGGAAAGTGACCAGCCAGCAAGGGAGAGTCCTCTGAGCTACACGGCAGTTGCAGGGACAGGAAGGGCTGGCATGGGCAGCATGGCCTGGGGACCTATCCGGGGGATCCACTGGGTGATACCCTCCACGTCACTGTCAAGAGCTGAGCTCAGTTTCCCAGACCCCTGCTTTCCTGACGTACCCCTTTTGGGCCCAGATTGTGTTGTCCCATGGGTGCCAGGCAAAAGAAGGGATGAGACAGGTGAGCCCTCGAGTGGGTGCAGGTGATGTTCTAGGAAGCAGAGAAAGTGGATTTCATCAAAAGGAGCACCCTTGGCCTTCAGATCTCCAGAGAATTCTTGTTCTTCCTATTAGCCAAATGTCTTGCTCAGATAGATTTTAGATAAATGTGTCCAAGGAAAGCACGCATTTTGGGGAGGGTTGCTATCCTGTCTACCATGGCGAGTCCTGGGGAACCTGCACAGGTGCTTACACTCTGGCTCTGCTGCTGCTGTGACTGACAATGTCACTTGTGTCTGGGCCGAGAGTCTCCTGTCTTTGGCTGGCATCCATGAACTATGGCTGGCTAATGTGTTAGTTGTAAGTAGCTATAATCTCAGTGTCCTCAAAGTTCATGACTGTATAGTACCTTTTACAAACATGTCAGCCGATATAAAACACGTGTTTTATATTTTAAGTTAAATGTCATACGCATTTGTATGTACATGAAGTTATTTCTAATATATATGGTGAGTGATTTGCCCCATCCCGTTGGTGATAAGGGAGTTTTTGCTCAGTTACTTCACGTGAGATCTGGTTGTTTAAAAGTCTGTGGCATCTCCCCCACTCTACTCTCCTGCTCCTGCTCTTACTCCGGGACCTGACCACTCCCCATTCAACTTCTGCCATGGTTGTCGGCTTCATGAGGCCCTCACCAGAAGCCAGGCAGGTGCAGGAGCCATGCTTATATAGCCAGAAGAACCGTGAGCCAATTAAACTTCTTTTCTGGGTAAATTACCAAGTCTCAGGTATTTCTTTATAGCAATGTGAAAATGGCCTAACACAGAAAACTGGTACTGAGGAGTAGGGTGTTTCTATAAAGATACCTGAAATTGTGGCAGTGGCTTTGGAACTGTGTAATGGCAGGGGTTGGAAGAGTTTGGAGGGCTGAGAAGAAGAGAGAAAGACAAGGGAAAGTTTAGAACTTCCTAGAGACTTGCCAAATGACTGTGACCAAAACGCTGGTAGAAATAAGGACAGTGAAGGCCAGGCTGACATGGTCTCAGATGGAAATGAGGAACTTACTGGGAACTGGAGGTAGAGGCCGCCTGTGCTATGCCTCAGCAAAGAGCTTGGCTGCATTGTGTCCAAGTCGTGGGCATCTATGGAAATTTGAACTTACGAGTGATGACTTGGAGTATCTGGCAGAAGAAATTTCTATGCAGCAAAGAATTCAAGGGGTGGTCTGGCTTCTTCTAACAACCAACCATCAGATATGAGAGCAAAGAAATGATTTGTATTTGGAAATTATATTTAAAAGGGAAGCAGAGCATAAACATTTGGAAAATTTGCAGGCTAGCCACTTGATAGAAAACAATATCCTGTTTTCAGGGAAAGAATTAAAGGGGGTTGTTGGAGTAACCATTTACTAGAGAGATTAGCATGACTAAAAGGGAGCCAAGTGCTACTATCCAAGACAACAGGAAAAGGGCCTCGAAGAAAGCATGGTATAAGTCCTCAGGACAGCCCTTACTGTAACAAGGCCAGAGATCTAGGAGGAAAGAATGACTTCAGAGTCTAGACCTTGGGCCTCTTTGTCCTGTGCAGCCCAGGGACACTGATCCCTGTATCCCAGCTACTCTGGCTCTGGGCTTGGCTCAGAGGGGCCCAGGTACTACTCAAGCCACAGCTTGAACAGTCCAAGCCGTAAGTGTCTATAGCTTTCACACGGTGTTCAGCCTTCAGGCTCACAGAATGCAGGAGTTAAGGAGGCTTAGTAGCTTCCCCTAGATTTCAGAGAATCCATGAAAAAGCCTAGTGCCCAGGTAGAAGCCTACTTCAGGGGCAAAGCCCTCTCAGAATGACTCTACTAGGGCCATGCTGAGGGGGAATGTGAGGTTGAAGCCCCCACACAGAGTGCCCACTGAGACACTGCTTAATGGAGCTGTGGGAAGGGGGCCATCGCCCTGCAGACCCCAGAATTGTAGATCCACCAGCAGCTTGCACTCTGCACCTGAAAAAGCCTCAAGTGCTCAACTCCAACCCATGAGAGCAGCCAGGTGGGCTGTGTTCAGGGAAGCCACAGGGGCAGAGCTGCCCAAGGCTATGGGAGCCCATTCCTCACACCAGGGTACAGGACACGGAGTCAAAGGAGATTGTTTCAGAGCTTTAAGATTCAATGAATTGCCTGCTGAGTGTAGACTGGTGTGGGGCCTATCAAGCCTTCCTGTTGGCTGATTTCTCCCTTTTAGAATGGAAAAATATACCCAATGCTGGTGCCCCCATTGTATCTTGGAAACATATAACTGCTTTTTTATCTCAGAGGCTCATAGGTAGAAGGACCTCATCTCCAGATGAGACTTTGGACTTGGGATTTTGAGTTAATGCCAGAATAAATTAAGACTTTGGGGGACTGTTGCGAATGCGCAATTGTATTTTGGAATGTGAGAAAGGTGTGGGATTTGGGGGAACGGGTAGAATAATAAGGTGTAGATGCTTTTCCCCCTTAAATCTCATGTTAAAATGTGATTCTGGATGTTGGAGTTGAGGCCTGGTGAGAGGCGATTGGATCACAAGGGCAAATCCCTGATGAATGGTTTAGCCCCATCCTCTTGGTGATGAGTCAGTTCTTGCCCAGGAAGTCCATGTGAGACCTGGTTGTTTTACGTTGTGTGGCACCTGCCCGCTTGACCTCTTGCTCCTTCTCTCACCATGTGAGACACCTGCTCCTGCTGCACCTTCCACCATGACTGTGGCTTCCTGAGGTCTCCCCAGAAGCCAAGCAGATCCTGGGTCCATGTTTGCACAGCCCGCAGAACCTTGAGCCAATTAAATCCCTTTTCCTTATAAATTACCCATTCTCAGGTATTTCTTTACAGCAATGCAAAAAATAGGTTAACAAGTAAGCTTTTTAAAAATTTATTTTTATTGTATGTATTTCTGATGTGCAAAATGATGTTTTGATATACAAATACATAATGAAATGATCACTACCGTCAAACAAAGTTAACATACCCATCACCTTCCGTAGTGATTGGTGTGTACATGTGGTGAGAGCACTTAAAATCTCTCTTAGCACATTAGTTTTTAGTATCCAATATTATTAACTACGGAAGGAATACAAGTGCTTAGCACAGCACCTAAAACTTTATTTTCACTCAGTAAGCACTATGTATTTTGGGGTTATTATTAATAAACAAAAATATAAACAATGCATTTAATTATGGCAGAACAACTGAAGAGAACAACTAGGTCACTTTTCCCAAAGCCACAGTAGGTGATTCTGAGCCCTGAGCCTCATGTCTAACTTGCAGAGGGAAGGAGGTTCTCCTGCCAGCTCTGTAGTTCTGTCTGGCGTCTGACACTCGCACACCTGCCAACACCTCCCCAACTCTACTCTCTTGCTCCTGCTCTTGCTCTAGGACCTGTCCACTCACACACCTGCGGTGGTCACTTGGGCAGTGCTGGCCTCCTGTCAGCTGGAGAGGCCCCGCCCTGCAGGCGACTCAGCCAGGGCAGCTGTCTGGAGCCCCCAGAGCACAGTCCGCTGTGGTCACTCTGCTTCTTCTTTGAGGCCTGGCCCTGCCAGCTTTGCTGCCAAAGGTGATTGACTCAACATTCAGACAAGAAGGATGGTGAACTTGATGTAGTCCTCCCTTGGGTCCTGGGGACTCAGTAATTCCATTCTGCAGGTGCCTGGACAATGCTCTGATCCACCCAGGTGTTGGCAGCATTGTTGCAAAGGTCACCTCTGTGCTTTCTCTCCAGGTTCCCCAGGTCCTCAAATGCTAGTAGGCAAGCCAGTTGTGAAACCTTGGATTGGTTCCGTGTAGCTGCTGCTGCTGAGAATCTAAAAAGGCCAGGTGCTTGTGTGGGAGACCAGGAGTAAGGGGAGGCCTGCAGGTGAGGGGAGGCCCCAGGTGTGGAGAGGCCTGCAGGTGAGGGGAGGCCTGCAGGTGAGGAGAGGCCTGCAGGTGGGGTGAGGCCTGCAGGTGAGGAGAGGCCTGCAGGTGGGGTGAGGCCTGCAGGTGAGGGGAGGCCTGCAGGTGAGGGGAGGCCTGCAGGTGAGGAGAGGCCTGCAGGTGAGGGGAGGCCTGCAGGTGGGGTGAGGCCTGCAGGTGAGGAGAGGCCTGCAGGTGAGGAGAGGCCTGCAGGTGAGGGGAGGCCCCAGATGAGGAGAGGCATTCAGATGAGGCAGGCTTCACATATTTCTTCTTCTATGAGGGTGTGTTTAGCTCTCACTGTGAACAGCTTTGCTGCCCCGTTCTAGGGCTGCATTGAGCCAATGCTCTGCACTGGAGTGGGAAGGGAAGAAGTTGGAGCTGGGACACATGCAGCTTCTGCAGGCTTTGGCTCTGAGATCAGGGCAGGGCTGTGCGCTTCCCAGTCTCCTGTTTCATTAGCTGGGATGTAAACAAATCATATCTTGGTTTGGATGTGATGGCCTGTCCGCAATTGTTATGAGAATCCAATTCATTCTGATTTGGCAGTTTTGTAAAGGGCAAGTCTGTGCCATTTTCCTCATCATTCAATACTGATGCATCACTTACACCCTATTCCTGTTCCTAAACCCAGTGACCCCGTGGACAGCAACTGCACATGTTTTACCTGTGCACACCCCGCAGTGCCTGTCACATTGTCTGGGACACAGTAGTTACTCAATAAATGTCTGCTTAATTAATTAGTAATTAAGTACCAAAGCTACCATAGACAAATAATCTATTTTATATCTTCTTTATGTGCCATAGAAACCTCAAGAAAAGAGGAATCCTTTCTCCAGCTCAGCTTCTGTCTTTTTCCAAACTTCCTGAGCCAACAAGCGGAGTGATTGCCCGAGCAGCAGAGATAATGGAAACATCAATACAAGCGATGAAAAGAAAAGTCAACCTGAAAACTCAACAATCACAGCATCCAACGGGTAATGTGTGCCCCTCTCCCCACTGAGGAGCGGCAACTCCCGAAGGAGGACACCTTGACTTTGTGCAGGGGCTGCTTGCTCAGGGCATGTTTTTTACTTGAGACCAAGCAGGATGGGACTCCAGCTCTTTCAAAGCATACAAGCTGCAATTTTTAAAAATGCTTACCAAACAGTCTCAATATCTTATTTTTGTTACTCTGGAAAATAGCCATTTCTCTCCTATCCAAATCAAATTTGAGAAGTAGCTCAATAAGCTAAACATCCATTTTTTATGGTATAAAATAATTTAGGAATTTTCCCATAGCCCCCCTCTTAGTTAAAACTTGGCAAGCTCATTCATAAAACCTCTACAGTGAAAGGACTTCATGTGTGAGGCAGCGCATTGCAGGGAGCCCCATCTTCCCACTGAGTTGCTGGTGCCTCAGCAGAACTACCCAGGACATTTGAGAGCCAATTTACTCATCTCTAAAATGAGGACAGTGGCACTGCTCACTCCAATGGCTATCAGAAGACCAGTGCATAAACCAGGAGCAAATGTCGTCATTTCTTCAGCTCTAAAGCACTCTATGGGCATAAGATACTGAGATGGTAATGCAGGCAGTCAAAAGGCATATTGGTGCTTCCTATGATGCAGAGCAAGTAAGCGAAATGTCTTTTTAATTAATTTATCAAGAATTTTTTCTCTGCAGCGCCATGAGCTACTTGGCCTCTGAGTTCTTCCTTCTAACTAGCTATAGATCAATTTGGTGCTGGTTACTTAGCTTTTAGAATAAGACAAACTTGGCTAAATCAGTATTGACCAGAATTCTCAAATCCTAAACTTAACAGTGAAGTTTAATTAATTTCATAGCAAGCTAAGATTCACCACTTTGAAATGTCCTTTCTTTCAAACCATATGGCTGAACGATGTTTCTAAGAACTCTCGGTCCACTGTCCTGTTACGGGACACTGTCCTGTCCACTGTCCTGTCAGGCCTCCTATGGAAATGGCAGTTCCTGACGTCAGAAGATGTGGGTCTTTCTGGTCCATGCCTTAGAGCCACATGCTCACTGCCGGGTCTGTAGACATCGATGTTTAGGAGAATAGGCTGAGGTATTTGGTCCAGGCTATAATGTAGAACTTAAGGACTCCATAATTTAGAATTTTTTAAAATGATTTCCGTTGTAAGTATAGCCCATCTTGAAAACTTAGAACACGAGGAACCTAAAAAGGTTTCCCATTACTTCATCACCAAGCCAGAATTCCATTAAAGGTCAGTGCCTGTCCTTCTAGGCTGCTCCTTCATGTTGGTCTTGTGTGTTACATGACTATGACCTCATAGTTCTTTTCTTCTTTTTTTTTGTTGAGATGAAGTCTCGCTCTGTCGCCCAGGCTGGAGTGCAGTGGGGCGATCTCGGCTCACTGCAAGCTCCGCCTCCCAGGTTCACGCCATTCTCCTGCCTCAGCCTCCTGAGTAACTGGGACTACAGGCACTCACCACCACACCCGGCTAATTTTTTGTATTTTTAGTAGAGACGGGGTTTCACCATGTTAGCCAGGATGGTCTCGATCTCCTGACCTCGTAATCCACCCTCTTTGGCCTCCCAAAGTGCTGGGATTACAGGCGTGAGCCACCGTACCCGGCCAATGGTTCTTTTCTATCGCACATGATTTGTTGTCTGCAAGCACCTGCTTGAGGGCATTCCTGTCAAGAAGAATCTGTGCTCAGCTTTTTGAAGAATGCGTAATCCTCCACTAACTGAATGCACACTGCAGTCCAAGGTTTACTTAACTGTTCCCATAGAGCCATTCCCGTTGGACTGTTAGTGAGCATTCATGATTGAAAGACTAGTTTGTTTCTCCCATATCTGAAAATGGAATGCATTCCTTCCTGGCTTTTTTTTCTGTTGAATATCTCAATTTCACTGGTATCTTGTTAATCAAAGTTTTGTGGCATTATCCTCAAAGATTTATATAAACCATATTGGAGAAGTAATCGATGATTACCTCTACTAATGGACAATAAAGCCACTCTCACCTTGATTTGTTGAATAACATATAAATTATAGTGACAGAATTAATCCAAAAAAAAGAAAAACAGGAAATTGTTTCCTGGGTTCTCGTCTCATCTGGAAAGATTTACAAGGGAACCAAAAATCAATACAAAGGAAAAACGAAAGGTTTTATAGATAAGCGTACCATCTTCATCAAGGCAAGATTTTTTCTACATTAGGGTTCGGGATAAATTCTACTCCTCACTGTCTTCTAAAGCACTGGGGCCATTACTAGGCACACATGCCTCACTGTTCGAATATGATGAATGAGCCCTGGAGATGTGCTTAGTGAGAGTTGATGGTAACTGCAAAGTTACTTGCTGGCTTATCCCCCTGAGGGCTGAGAGCTCCTAGATTGCTTTTCTGAAAGATCACAGAGCAAAAATAAATTTTAAAACCCCCACATTTCTAGCAATAAGGAAGCTCAAGGGAATTAAATGAGTGAGCACTTGATGTAAAGGGAGAAGGCAGATTTTCTCAAAAACAGTGACCCCAGTTACATATGAATCCCAAATTCAGATGCTGGAGTCACTTTTGAGACTGCAATAGAATATTTGTTAGGTGGATTTGTGGTTACAAGCACAGAATTCATGGTTTCCTATTTTTCACAGATGCTTTATCAGAAGATCTGCTGAGCATCATTGCAAACATGTCTGGATGTCTCCCTTACATGCTGCCCCCAAAATGCCCAAACACTTGCCTGGCGAACAAATACAGGCCCATCACAGGAGCTTGCAACAACAGGTATTGTTTGTGGATTTTCTTAATCTTCTCGTGAAAGTTGGATCTGAACATGACTAGATGCCATCATGAAGGAACTTCTACCACCACTGGTGGATCTGTATCCACCCCTGAGCCCCTGGTTCCTGTCCTTGGCCTCCCCGACGTGGCCTCCTGCATGCCTGGTGGTGCCTCAAGCAGCGTGCCAAGCAGTACTGTCATTCCCAGCCACAACGTCCCATCCACATAGGTGCTTACAGGTGACTCTTAACTTCCTAACCCCACAAATTCCACCGCCCTTCACCTAAGAGCTCAAGCCACGTGCTTAGGCGCCATCCTTGATTTCGCTAGCTCCGCTACCCATTGTTTCCAATGCACCCCCAAGACTGTCACTTTTACCTCCAAAATGAGTCCTCTCCACTCCCTGTCACCTTAGCTGAAGCCAAAATAACCATCCAGCTGCCATCACGTGGTGGTCCCCTCACTGGTTCTCCTAATTTAACTCTTGCTTTCCCCATTCACGCTCCCTGTTATGGCCAACACCATCTCAGCACCCTCCTTCTCAACTCCTCCCTCAGTCCCCACTGCACTCAGAGTGAGTTCAGATCCGCCCAACAGTGGCGACCGCCCACCTCCTCTGGTCCACAATGGCAGGAGATGGACAGGAGCTTTGGCCACACACACAGGCATGTGATTCAGTCTGGGGTTCAGAATGGTTTTCTGAAGAAGGTGATATGCGAGTGAGCCAAATCTTAAAGGATGAGTGGGCATTTCTCAAATGGTCCACAGGGTAGAGAAGAGGGCTTTGCAAAGGCCGGAAAGAGCAAGATGCGTTTGGGCTGAAACGTGCAGCCTTTGGCACACAGAGGGGCAGAGGGAGAGCAGCCGGGATTGTGGCGCCTGTGGGGTCTGGGGGAAACAGTGTGCCCGGTGGTCACCTAGAAGCTTTGTCACAATAGTGTGGCGCCAGGATGGCTGCAGGCTTGATGTTCACCGATGCAGGCAGCAAAGGTGCTTAGCATGGAAGAACTCCTCAAAGGGACTCAAGCTCCTCACTGCTGGGTGTGCTGAGGTCAGAAGGAAGATGCCCCCCCTGAAAGAGGGATCAGCGGGACCCAGGCAGAGCCCTGGCTTGGACAGGCCCTGTCCTGAGACAGAGAGCAGGGGCTTTGTGACAATGAACAGGAATCGGGGTCCTGGGTATATGATGATGGTTAAGAACAACAGCTTTGCAACTGGACAGCCCTGGATTTGAAACCTGGAATCACCACCTATCAGAGGGCAGTTTGTTTCAATTCTTTGAGCTGTAAGAGCTTGTTTGTTAAGCCCACAGCAGGAATGCATAACCTGGCCATGTGTGAGGATCTGATCTTAGGACTGCGGAGCCCCGGCTGGAAGAGGCAGCCTGTGCTGAACGCAGAGATGGGTCAGGGCCACACAGGAGGCTGCTGTCCACCCCTCCTGCCCTGAAGCCTGGGGGGGGGTCTGTGCCTTCCCGTGGAAGTGGGCTCAGAGGTGGAGATGGCACGTGTCCTGTCCTCAGAGCTCAGTGGGAGACATAGATGTAGACAAAGGATGCACAGGAGATGATGCCTGGGAGTATGGGGACACTGAGATGGCTGGTGGGATGCACGGCTGGAGGGACCAGGCCTGGATGGAGGAGGGGATGGGGCTGGAGGGCCTGGGTGGAGGAGGGCAGGGGGTAGGTGCACTGTTGAGTCAGAAGCCGGAGCGGAGATGGCTTGGACTACACGGGGAGGAGCAGGGTCTTCAGAAGGACAGGGTGGGGTCTAACCTGCAGGTACATGTTGAGGGTGGGGATCCCGGGGGACAGTGGCGTTGGAGATGTGGGGGCGGGGCTGCTCTCTGAATGGGTTTCATACTTCTGATTTTATTAAAGAAATATAAGACATTGAATTCTGCATTCCTAAGCACAATTATCTTAAGAATCAGCGAGTCATACTTTCCATATGTTTTCAACACCTCTAGCGTGTCTTAAACAGCGTTAACAAGTCTGGGACTCTCCGTGGCCCGAAGCACTTTCACCAGACGGGTCCGTGATGGAGCTCCTTGGGTTCTAGGTTTTCCTTGAGACCTCCTAACTTTTTTCCATTTCCTTTTCTGCCTGCTGCCTTCTGTCTGTCAGCCATGACCCAGACCTCAGGTGCATTCTGATGGCTCTCCCTACGGAGGTCGACCCAGGGGCCACCCCGCACCCACCCCCACCCTGCCCCACGTCCCTCCTCCACGTCAGGGGGATGATGAATTCAGCCATGTGCAACATTGTGGGCATCCTTAAAGCAAATTGCAGTGGAGGGTGAATTACAGTGCTTGGGGAATCCCCGAGCAAAGCCAGTAGGCCTCACACATGATCTAAATCTTGCTTGATTTGCAAACAGAAGAGAAACTTAACTGGAGATTTTTTTTTTTTTGCAAATGCCTGGATTAAAGAAAAATGAAATATAAGCCCGACCATTCCGAAACTGCCAACTAACCTGTTTAACTAGGAACCTTCCAGCAGGACAGACCAAATAATGCGAAACTGAAGCCAGTCAAAGCTTTTCTCCAATGACGTCTACATCCACCTGCAAAGCCTGCCCCTGGGTCCTGCAGTAGAGCCTGAACCTTTCTTTGGTTTGATGCTTCCTGATTCATAAATCATGATCACTCAAAAAAAACTCTTTAAAAAATGTATTGTGCCTAAGTTTACATTTTAACAACCTCAAGACCAGGGCCTCAGCCGGCAGCAGTGAGTTCCTGCTCGGCCCTTCTGAAAGGCCCTGCTGCTGTCTTGGGCGTCTCTGCCCCAGCTGCTGGGCGGGCTCCACTGACGCTCCTGGGAGAATCTCTGCTGACCACACAATGACATTGGCACTGGGAGCTGTGATCTGGGGACACTTAGATCTGAGCTGGTTTCTCTCCTTCTGTGGTGACAGCTACAGTTTTCATTAAGAATTCACAGCATCTGGATCTAAAATCTCCTACGTTCAAGGCTTCACACATTGTATTCCACCAAAAATAAAACATCTGCTCAGAAATCGGTCACTTGTTGTTATAAAAGTGAGCCACAGAGGGCCCCTGACCCTTGGCCCCTGGGTGGTTTATTTTTTCTCTGCAGGCCTGTTAGTGCCAAAGCCCACCAAGACCAAGCTCAAATTTACTCATGCCCAATTGTGATAAAAATAGCCCAAACAAGCAGACTTTTAGCCACTTGGAGCCTACCTCTTTGCATCTTCCACAAAACCTCTCCCAGCATCTCAGGCCGTTGGTAAGATACAGCCTCGTGGTCATCAGACCCCAGGTCGCTGCTGTCTCTGGAGTTGCCTGCCCAGAGACTCCCCCTCTCCCCCTCACCATGTTGCTGAGTAATGTCACCAGACATGGAGACCCTCTGATGCCCCACTGTGAGTTCCTCGCCATCCTCCCCATCTGGGTGGCGGTCCCTCACCTTAGCCTCTGGATGGTCCCCTGCCTTGAGGGATGTCCCCTCTTCTGCACCTGTGCCCAAGAACCACCCCAAAGGCATGTGTGTGTCTCTGCCTCCCCGATCCTAACTTTTGCCTTGCTCAGCCCTGAGTTCCCAGAGCTTCCCCATACCCACTAAATTGCTAAGTTCCCCCCCAGCGGTCTCCTAAGCCGCTTCGGCGTCCCTCTCAGTCACCAGCACCTGGTTCCCCACCCACACCTTCCCATCTTTGTCTGGGCTGGTGCTGCATTTCCAATGTGCTGCGTTTCCACTGTGCTGCGTTTCCAATGTGCTGCATTTCCACTGTGCTGCATTTCCAATGTGCTGCGTTTCCACCGTGCTGCATTTCCTGCATTCCAAAGAGACCTTTGGGTGTTGGCTGCAATGACATCTTTAAGACAAATGTTAGTTGGAATTAACTTTTGAAATTCTAAATGTCGAAATGGTGGATTTTAAAACTCATCCATTTCTACTAGTTTTCTTGCTTTATGGTGTGATGTCTGCATGTCACAAGTGGATGGCAGGGTTTCTAAGGCCTTGTTTTTCCTTTGTTGGTATTTTCCTAATTGCCTAGGACGTATCACATAAAATTACTTAACAAGTAGTGGAAAAGAATGATTTTTCTTTCACCATTTCACCTGGACATTTTGTTTGTATGGTGTAGTCGGTGCCGCAGGAGCTACCTTGTTGAAAGAGAAGGGGGCAGGCTGCTTCTCCTTTGTGTGGTGTAGCTAATGCCACACCTGTACTTCTTGTTTGTATGAAGTGGTCAGTGCCACAGGAGCTACCACTTTAGAAGGGAATGGAGCAGGCTGTTTCTTGTTTATATGGTGTAGTCAGTGCCGCAGGAGGCACTATGTTGGAAGAGAATGGGCAGGCTTCTTCCTGTTTGTATGATCTAGTCAGTGCCACAGGACGTACTATGTTGTAAGTGAATGGAGCAGGCTCATTCCTGTTTTTATGGTGTAGTCATTGCCGCAGGAGGCACTATGTTGGAGGAGAATGGGCAGGCTCCTTCCTGTTTGTATGATCTAGTCAGTGCCGCAGGACGTACTATGTTGTAAGTGAATGGAGCAGGCTCATTCCTGTTTTTATGGTGTAGTCATTGCCGCAGGAGGTACTACGTTGGAAGCAAGTAGGGCAGGGTCCTTCTTGTTTCCATGGTGTAGTCAGTGCCGCAGGAGGCACTACGTTGGAAGGGAACAGGGCAGGGTCCTTCTTGTTTGTATGATCTAGTCATTGCCACAGGAGGCACTATGTTGGAAGGGAATAGGGCAGGGTCCTTCTTGTTTCCATGGTGTAGTCAGTGCCACAGGAGGCACTATGTTGGAAGGGAACAGGGCAGGGTCCTTCTTGTTTGTATGATCTAGTCATTGCTGCAGGAGCTACCAGTTGTAAATGAATGGAGCAGGCTCCTTCCTGTTTGCATAGTGTAGTGAGTGCCGCAGGAGGCAGTACGTTGGAAGGGAATAGGGCAGGGTCCTTCTTGTTTGTGTGGTGTAGTCAGTGCCGCAGGAGCTACCGTGTTGGAAGGGAATGGGGCAGACTCCTTCTTGTTGGTACGGTGTGGCCAATGCTGCAGGACGTACCATGTTGGAAGAGAATGGGGCTTGAGTTTGTTTTGCTTTACACTTTGTCATAAAGGAAATTATCAGTTCTCTGCATAAGCCCCTATTTTTTAACAAGGGGGTGTGTGTGCATGCACGGCAAGCTGGTCCCTTTAAACATTTTAGAATCTCTAAATATAAAGCTTAAGATATTAGGAATGCTGTTGATAACTGTGCATTTGGGGTGAAGGCGTTTTGGTAGTATCATTTAAAGGATTTCCAGCTTCCTTCTGTTTCTGTTACCAACCTGTGGAGACCTCTTCATCATCCTGGACTCAGATCAGGGTCCTCGACTCTGCTGCACTCCCAGCCAGCTGAGGCTGTTGTTCCTCACCTGTGTGTTTTTATAGAAGTCTAGGAGCTGGGGGGTAGGAGGTGGGTGTGGGCAGGGGTCACGTCACTTGCAGGTTGCCTTTGCTAGAAGCAGTCACATTGGCTGAGAACAGAATCCCCAGGGCCTGAGGATGTCCTGCAGAAATTTGGGTTTTAGTGTGTAGCTTGGCATCAGCCTAGAGATAAGACAAATTCTATTTTAAAAATCAAGTGCTCCATGGCGGGATGGTGATATAGTTGGCTGTGTCCCCACCCAAATCTCATTTGAATTCCCACATGTTGTGGGAGGGACCAGGTGGGAGGTAATTGAATCATGGGGGCAGGTCTTTCCTGTGATGTTCTCGTGATAGTGAATAAGTCTCACGAGATTTGACAGCTTTATAAGGGGAAGTTCCCCTGCACAAGCTCTCTTTCTGCCTGCCGCCATCCATGTAAGACATGACCTGCTCCTCCTTGCCTTCCACCATGATTGTGAGGCCTCCACGTGGAATCGTAAGTCCATTAAACCTCCTTTTCTTCTCAGACTCAGGTATGTCTTTATCAGCAGCATGAAAACAGACTAATACAGATGGAGTAGGGGAGGGCTACTGAAGAAATGAAGCCTCTCAGCTACTGGAAATAGATGCAATCAGGGTGGAATTACTCACGGACAGTCCTCCAGAGGCAGTGGGGTCATTGTGGAGATCTGTGTGCCACAACAGCCAGAAAACAAAGGGGCCACGAGCCACTGTTTGCTCTGTGGTCTAAATCAATGGACTATCTTACCACATGCAATGTTAGACAGTGTATTACATATGATTATTCATAAGCAGAAATACAAATATATATTATATACTGTAAGACAGTATTCATTATATGATAAATATGATGAATTCACCTAGATACTTCATATAGAATTTGCCTTCAGTTTTAGATTGATACATGTGATAAGAACTTCTCTGTGTGTTCTTGAGAAAGTGCTCACATTCCCATGCATAATGGAAAGGACATTGTATTTTGAAATAGAAGACGAAATTCCAGCCACCACTTTGTCAGTTACAAGCTGCTTAGACTTCATGTCTTGCTTAGTTTCTCAAATTCTCTGCACCTGGAAACTGGCAAAGATAGTGATGCTCATTTCTAGGGTTGTCATGAGGCTGAAGTGAGACAATGCAGCAGAAATAATTTGTGAGCAATAATGATACAAAGGTCAGTGATTGATTATGTAAATAATGGCCACCTTTGAAGCCCCTTTCTTCAAAGAGTCTGAGTCTTGATTCTTGAAGAGGTGTGATTTTTCTTTGAAAAATTGCATTATTTCTTGCTGGGCACGTTGGCTCACGCCTGTAAAGACAGCACTTTCGGAGGCTGAGGTCGGGGGATCGCTTGAGCCCAGGAGCTCAAGACCAGCCTGGGCAACAAAGCAATACCTCATCTCTAAAACAAACAAACAAAAAATTGTGTTATTTCTTGAGTTTTGATCTGATGAACTACTGCAGTAAACCACTGTGTCTCACAGTGTTGGAAGGGAATGGAGCCGGCTCCTTCTTGTTGTATGGTGTAGGCAATGCCACAGGAGGTACCGTGTTTGAAGGGAATGGGGCAGGCTCCTTCTTGTTTGTATGATCCAGTCATTACTGCAGGAGGCACCGTGTTGGAAGGGAGTGGGGCAGGCTCCTTCTTGTTTGTATGACCCAGTCATTGCTGCAGAAGGTACCATGTTGGAAGGGAATGGGGCAGGCTCCTTCTTGTTTGTATGATCCAGTCATTGTTGCAGGAGGCACCGTGTTGGAAGGGAATGGGCAGGCTCCTTCTTGTTTGTATGATCCAGTCATTGTTGCAGGAGGCAACATGTTGGAAGGGAATGGGGCCGGCGCCTTCTTGTTTGTATGATCCAGTCATTGCTGCAGGAGGCACCATGTTGGAAGGGAAAGGGCAGGCTCCTTCTTGTTTGTATGATCCAGTCATTGCTGCAGGAGGTACCATGTTGGAAGGGAACGGGGCAGGCTCGTTCTTGTTTGTATGATCCAGTCACTGCTGCAGGAGGCACCATGTTGGAAGGGAATGGAGCTGGCTCCTTCTTGTTTGTATGATCCAGTCATTGCTGCGGGAGGCACCATGTTGGAAGAGAATGGGGCAGGCTCCTTCTTGTTTATATGATCCAGTTATTGCTGCAGGAGGCACCATGTTGGAAGGGAATGGGGCAGGCGCCTTCTTGTTTGTATGATCCAGTCATTGCTGCAGGAGGTACCATGTTGGAAGGGAACGGGGCAGGCTCGTTCTTGTTTGTATGATCCAATCACTGCTGCAGGAGGCACCATGTTGGAAGGGAATGGAGCTGGCTCCTTCTTGTTTGTATGATCCAGTCATTGCTGCGGGAGGCACCATGTTAGAAGGGAATGGGGCAGGCTCCTTCTTGTTTGTATGATCCAGTCACTGCTGCGGGAGGCACCATGTTGGAAGGGAATGGGGCAGGCTCCTTCTTGTTTATATGATCCAGTTATTGCTGCAGGAGGCACCATGTTGGAAGGGAATGGGGCAGGCGCCTTCTTGTTTGTATGATCCAGTCATTGCTGCAGGAGGTACCATGTTGGAAGGGAACGGGGCAGGCTCGTTCTTGTTTGTATGATCCAATCACTGCTGCAGGAGGCACCGTGTTGGAAGGGAATGGAGCTGGCTCCTTCTTGTTTGTATGATCCAGTCATTGCTGCAGGAGGTACCATGTTGGAAGGGAATGGAGCTGGCTCCTTCTTGTTTGTATGATGCAGTCATTGCTGCAGGAGGTACTGTGTTGGAAGGGAATGGGGCAGGCTCCTTCTTGTTTGTATGATCCAGTCATTGCTGCAGGAGGCACCATGTTGGAAGGAAATGGGGCAGGCTCCTTCCTGTTTGTATGATCCAGTCACTGCTGCAGGAGTCACCATGTTGGAAGGGAATGGGCAGGCTCCTTCTTGTTTGTATGATCCAATCACTGCTGCAGGAGGCACCATGTTGGAAGGGAATGGGCAGGCTCCTTCTTGTTTGTATGATCCAGTCATTGCTGCAGGAGGCACTGTGTTGGAAGGGAATGGGCAGGCTCCTTCTTGTTTGTATGATCCAGTCATTGCTGCAGGAGGTACCCTGTTGGAAGGTAATGGGCAGGCTCCTTCTTGTTTGTATGATCCAGTCATTGCTGCAGGAGGCAACATGCTGGAAGGGAATGGGCAGGCTCCTTCTTGTTTGTATGATCCAGTCATTGCTGCAGGAGGTACCATGTTGGAAGGGAATGGGGCAGGCTCCTTCTTGTTTGTATGATCCAGTCATTGCTGCAGGAGGTACCATGTTGGAAGGGAATGGGGCAGGCTCCTTGTTTGTATGATCCAGTCATTGCTGCAGGAGGTACCATGTTGGAAGGGAATGGGCAGGCTCCTTCTTGTTTGTATGATCCAGTCATTGCTGCAGGAGGTACCATGTTGGAAGGGAATGGGGCAGGCTCCTTCTTGTTTGTATGATCCAGTCATTGCTGCAGGAGGTACCATGTTGGAAGGGAATGGGGCAGGCTCCTTGTTTGTATGATCCAGTCATTGCTGCAGGAGGTACCATGTTGGAAGGGAATGGGCAGGCTCCTTCTTGTTTGTATGATCCAGTCATTGCTGCAGGAGGTACCATGTTGGAAGGGAATGGGGTAGGCTCCTTCCTGTTTGTATGATCCAGTCACTGCTGCAGGAGGCACCATGTTGGAAGGGAATGGGGCAGGCTCCTTCCTGTTTGTATGATCCCGTCATTGCTGCAGGAGGTACCATGTTGGATATGGTACCATGTTGGATAAGTGGCACAGTGGATAGAATCCATCGCCATAGTGACCATGAGTGGATTCCTGCTATTAAATTGGGGTACGACTTATGCAGGGCTTGGGGGTGAATCTGGAGGCACAGGTGGCCGAGTCTTCCATGGGCCTGCACCCCCAGATGAGAAGCCCCCAGGTGCAGATCGAGAACTGTACACCCCAGAGGGCTGCCTTCTGGCCCCTCCTAGGTTTTGACATCTCCCCAGAGGTGACCATTGCTTTGATCTTCATCACCATAGTTAGTTTTCCCTGACCTGGCTTTTATAGGAAGGAAGTTAGATGGTAACCCCTGGGCCTGGCTTCTCCACCTCCAGGATTTATTTGCTCCTGCCTTGCTGAGGGAGACACTCTTCGTTACAGGGCAGGCATGGGCGCCTCTCTGCTGAGCACTGGTCAATGCTTCCAAGTGGCTGCTCCAATCTGCATTCCCAGGAGCAAAGTGTAAGAGCCCCACAGCCCTCACCAATCCCCGTCACTGTGATCCCTTTCATTTTGGCCCTTCTTGAGGGGAGGGTGGCATTTCCTGTGGTTTAACTTCACATTTTCCTGGTGACTAATTGTCTTGAGCACTTTTAAAATACATTCATTGGCCATTTGGAGACTCTTTTTCGGGATGTGCCAGTTCAAACATTTTTCCCATTTTTTAATGAATCTTTTTTGATTTATAGATGCTCATATTTTCTAAATATGTCTTCAGTGAGAAATATGTTTTACAAATGTCTTCTCCCAGCTGAGATTGGCCTTTTCACTCTCCATGCTGTCTTTTGAAGAAACGTTGTTCATATTTTTAATGAAGTCCCCTTTATCAATTACTTATTTCATGGAAAGAAAACTTTTTTGTTATGTTTAAGAATCTTGCTTTCTCTGAAGAATGTGAAGGTATTTTTCTTGTGTTTTCTGCTGAAAATGTTATTGTTTTACATGTCACATTTAGATCTGTGACCCATCTCATTTTATGTTTTCTGCAACATATGAGGTGGCAACCATGAGGGGTGTGTGTGTGTGTATGTGTGTGTGTGTATTGTAAACCAAAAATAAAATTCTAAGTCTTGCGATCATCTGAATTGACCCCTCCTGTTGGCAAGGGTGTTCCAAAGCTAACCTGAAAAACTAATCTGACCGTGATGGGGAGAGTGAGGTCAGACGTGCCTCATGACACCCTCCTCCCTTTTGGAATTTCTGCTAGAACAGACTTCTTAACTCTGAGAAGAAACATTTACAGTCTCTTCTCTCAGAAGCCTGCTGCCTGGAGACTTCACCTGCACGATGAAACCTTGGTCTCCACAACCTGTGTCTTAACCCAGACAGTCTTAAGTCCTTAGACGATAACTTTACTCTTTCAAAAAATTGCCACTCAGAAAATTTTTGAATCTACCTTTGGCCTAGAAGCCCCCGCTTCCAGATGTCCTGCCTTTTTGTACTGAACCAGTGTACATCTTACATGTATTTGATTGATGTCTTGTGTCTCCCTAAAATATATGAAACTAAGCTGTGCCTCAACCACCTTGGACACAAGTTCTCAGGATCTCCTGAGGGCTGAATCATTGGCCATTGGTCACTCATATCTGGCTCAGAATAAATCTCTTCAACTATTTTACAGAGCTTGACTCTTCACTGACAATATCTATAAGTGTTTGTGTATATATAGAGGCATGTATATATAGGTAGATTTGTATGTGTGTGTGTATATATCTATAATAAACACAGGTCTATATAGAGGGGTGTGCGTGTATGTATGTATAGATATGTGTGTGTGAAAGCATGTGTATATGATATTTATTCAGAACCATCCTTTACCCAGTGAACTGCACCCATGCCTATATCATGAATCGAGTAGCCACATGTGTGTGGGCGAGGACTGCTAGACTCTTACCATTATGTACACAATTATGAGAGAGAGGGAGAGAACCTGAGTTAAACAATTAGCCACACTTCTCTTTAAGCCTACTGAGAAAAAGACACAGGGACCCAGCAGACATCAGAACACCTTGTTGGGGCAGCTCGCACTGGGGCGCAGGTGGCAGAAGCCTCACGGGATTCTGTACAGCAGGAAGAGAGGCCGGCTTCAGCCCCTCCTGCCTGACAGCACAGGGGTCCTGCCTGGCCTGGGAGGAGCCGGGATTGGAGGCAGGGGCTGCTCCTGCCTCCAGAGGTTTCCAGGAGACTGCATGTTGTGCCCTGCCGGCATCCACACATTTGTGTAGTACCCACTCCCAGACAAGGACACTCATAGACTTCCTCCGGCCTCGCGTGGGAGCCGAGCCTGTGGTCTGCATCTCGCTGTGCTCCACGCAGCTCCTGCATGCAGCTCCTGCACGCATCGGCTGGGCTCGCAGATGTCAGGTCCGCCTCCTTTCCTCTTCCCTGAGCCTCTGCCGAGCCCTCCCGACCCGAGGGTCGGCTGCTCCCTTCCCCGCCTGAGTCACTTCCGTGACTCTCTTCATCCTCAGAGCCATCCCCTTCCTCATCTGTAATGTGGGAAGAACACCCACCTCGCAGGGTTGTTTCTGGTTGAAAGGCAGCACTTGTCAGGCTCCTTGCACGCTGTCCACAGCCGGCCATCGTAAGAGTTACGGCGACTGTCACCTCTCAGCCACTCCTCGGCATCGGACCTCTTGGCTCCTGGCCATGGCATTGACCACAGAATGTCATAAACAGCCCAGTGTGTTTTTCCACGAGAGCAGTGGTCGGAGGCTCCTGCAGGTAAATGGCTGGAGATTGATTGACATGGGAATATCACGGCATCACAGAATCAGAGCACATTTGTTCACGGTGCAGGAATAACATCAAGTGAGTGGTGAGCTCTAAAGGACCTGGCCCTCGAGGTAGCTCACACCCTCGATGATGGATGGAGCCAGGCCACAGGTGAAATTTCCATCCAGGCGGGACAGACTCAAGCCGGGACTGGGTTCCCCTGACGCCCGGCTTCCCAAATGTGCTTCCCTCCCGGATGCACAGAGAACGAACGTGGCATGGACATTGTGAGCTGCAGGAAGCGATCCCACCAGGGATCAAAAAGCCAACTTCCTCCAGCGGCCATTCTGCACTAAGCCTCTTTCGTGGAGTTCACGTTCTGTCCAATACAGCCTTAAAGCCCATGAACAATTCTGGGGGAGACGATCAGGTCTGAAAGGAAAATTCCATATGGGTATTTAAGTTATTGGAAGAACCCTTAAGATCTACCTGGGTTTAACATAGAATTTGCTATATGTAACTTGGTATATCATTCTCTATAGTCATTTGCCTAAAAATCATCAAAAGTATAAATTCAATGTTGCATCTCCCATCCAGATATTTTGTGTTAAAAACACCTCATATCTGATGTCTGACAGCTATTTTCTTTTTTTCAATGTATTTGCCTTGAATTCACATTCGTAGTCACCTTTTTTCCCTCTCACTTTGTTTTTCATTTGCATTTTTACCTAATTCATGAAATTATCCAGCAGGGAGAGACCTGATGGAGTTTTGCTGGAATGAAGCTCCTTGACACAATCGTCTCCTTTTTAGAAGTGCCTGTAGATTGAAAGTTCAATTGCTCAAAACAGTTTGCTAAAGAACAAATGTGTGTCTATTAAGAGTTTAAGTTGCACTTGTAAATCCACCAATGGCACTAAGATATCATTTAGCAATATTGACACTTGAAGTGATAAAAAAACAGAAAATACCTTTGACGTCAAATAAATGTATTAGTCTTTAAGAAAAAAAGAGGTGGAATTGACCTTGGTGTCTTATGAAATCGCAGAACATATGATGGGTATAAACGATGCCAGAATAAACAAGATTTTCAAAGTTTTTGGAAAAAGCTGAGCTCATGCCGATTATAGAAAGCATTTGCATCTTTTGAAGGGTTTTCCTCTGAGGGTTCAAATGTCCCTCAGGGATCATGCTGGTGATAATCCCAGCTCACAAACTGACTGGTCTTAATTGCCTTCAATCAAGTAGCTCCAGCAGGAGACGGGAAAAATCACCGCTGAGTTTCCTCATACTTCTGGCCACCTGACAGGGTGTCAGGCGTTTTTGGGGACAAAATGAATCCTCGCACACCTGGCCCAGCAGGATGAGGGCATCCCGTGTCCCGCTGCTGCTCCGCTGAGAAAGAGGTGCCGTTACAGGAGTGGAAAGCTGACTTCGTCCACAGTTTCTCTCCCAGCATTTCACACTGCATTGCTGTTTGCTTCTTTTCATGGGCGGCACACATCTCTGGCACTCAGCGTGTCCATGTGCTGTTACTGGATGGCCATACCTGGCAAACATATTGACCTGTGTCTTGCGGCCTCAGTCCACAGCTTTATGCTCAAGCGCTCTTCAAGATGGAAGTTTAGAATTTCTTCTTTTTGGAATTCAGAAATCACAAAGTCTCCAGTGCCAGGTGCCTGGGAGAGGGGAACTAGGGTCCCAGGGAAATCAGAGTGACTCGGAGCCTCAGCAGGAGCACAGACCTCAGTCTCCCTCATAAAACTCTCCTCCAGAAATGTTTCTCTTTGTTCATTTTGTCAGCTTTATGAGCCTTTTTCCAATGCTGCCATTAATTCAGATCTAAGAAAGGAACAGTGTGGTACAATAGATTTCCACTGGGAAAGGATCTTTCCAACAGGAGCTGATCAAAGTCTCAGAGGGACCCTTCTCAGTCCTGCTGACCTGCTGACCGTGAAGGTCAGGTGACACATTTGCGGAGGGTCCACAACAAACGTCTGTGAGTGCCCTTGAGCCATTGTAATGTCCTAGTGAACTGCTGACATATAAAAGTCAATCAGCAAAAAAAATCACTGCTTAAGCAGTTAAATTAACATTATTTTTAATTGAGTAATCTAACACCTCCCTATGAGCCATACTTTATGGAATTTCAATAAAGACAAACCAACCATAACGAATCTGAACACTTTATTAAAGCAATCTTTCCAATCTTCAGTTGCTGACGTATTGCAGCTGATTATATGCATTACTCTCCCATACATTTTTGCAAATTGAGCCACTTTGGTGTGCTGGAGATTAATGAAGTATTAATAACAGAATTATTCTCCCCTTATGGTCCCTGCAGACATAGAGAAGTAACCATGTCCCCAAGCCTCCTGCCGCTGCTGACCACTCATCATCCAATGTGTCCTGGATGAGGTAGCAACTGGTGCACAACAGTAAGAATAAAAGCTCCTCTCCTCTAATGTACGGAGCTGCGTGGTGGCCTTAGAGACTTTTAAACTGGAAGAGTCTCAGCTCTTCAGTCTACCTCAAGGACAAAATGGATCTTTCCTTCACAAATGTTGCCCAGGTTACAAACAGTTCTTAGTAGAACCTTAGTCCTTTCATTCCTGTGCAGAACATCTAAATCGGTCACATTTAATACGAATGACTAATGTATGTTATAACCATAAAGGCAATGGTAATTTATGACAAAACCACTAATTTTTAAATATTTATATTCCCAAACACTCCAAATGTTTTAAAAAGTTATTTATCTTGTCACGATTCTTGTAGACTTCACTCCTTGTATTTTTTAAGTGCGTACATATCAGATACATGGGAGGATTTTCAAAGCCTGCATCCTAGTCACGCCTGACTCTTTTGTCATGTGCCTTGCAAAGCCTCCCAATACCAGTTGTCCATGATGCAGCTTCAGACTCTGCAGACTCAGCCCTGGTTGTGTTGCATGACTCTGCAGCTGCCACACACAGAACCTCCGTGCTGGTTGTTCCCACACGGGCGTGACTGACAGATACCAATGGAACCCGGATATCATGACAATGTTAGACCCAAAACAATCTGTATTTATTTGTAACAAAAGGAACCTACTTTTTTCCACAAAAAAATTCTATTTTTTTCTCTTTGAATTGACTTTTATATTCTAATTCTCTCATATTTCCTTCCAAATGCAGAATAATTTATGCCTTATAAATTGAGCCATTTTCTTCCAAATGTAGAATATTTTATACTTGAGAAATCCTTTATTTTTAATAAGTTTTACATATTTCTTTACCTATCCTCTACAGATATGTATGCTCATGTTATATATTTGATACATTCATTTATATATTCTTCACATTCATATAGTCTTACCATGCATTTATATACTTGAATATGTATTTTATTTTGCATGTTACTTTTTATGTATTTTATAAATTTAAATTTCATATTTAGAAAATGTTCAGTGAGCACAAGGGCCTCAGTGTTCATTGTTTTCTTCAAGATTGAGTTATTTTTTACACATTATTAGAACACGATTTAATAAGCACGGATCTATGACAGATGTTGGTAATTATTATGCATAGAGATAAATATTTATTGGAATTAGTTTATTGATGAGATGGGTGGAGTTTCAGTTAGTTCCTTCATCAGTTGGCTGAACATCACCTGTGGGCCAAGGGGCCATGCACCCTGGTTACCCGAGATCCTTCCTATTTATGCCTTCTGTCCCAGGAAATTATTAATAACTAATAGTGCTCCTGTCTCCTCAGAAGTATTCCACTTTGGTTAGGAATTATACGGTTGCCCTACATACTATAGATGAGACAGTTCAGCAGCAACCCTGTGATTATTTTTACCTTTGCAGATGGAAGGTGCCTAGAAACCTGCTCCTGTGACTATGTCGCTGGGAACAGTTTTGCCATAGGAATGCCATCTGGCCCTCAAAACTCCTTCTGAGATATAGAAGAAAATGAACATATAATGAGCTATCATTAAAATGATTTTTATTCATGTATCAGCAATCAATTCAATAACATTGTCCTCCAAATTTCTAAACAAAATATTGGAAAATACCTCATTTGCACAAAGGATTAGTTACCAATCTTTAGTCTTTTATTTCCTCAGTTTCTAGAAGATGCTCTGAGACATATCAAGTGACTGTTAATTGTGCCTACACCCCTTCAACTTAGGGGCACCTTGCTTAACACAGTACACTCGGAACTAAGTGTGAAATCAAAATATTCAACACACCTTTACCTTATCATGCACTTCAAATACATTTTTGTCAGAATATATTTTGACCAATAGAACAAAACTGCAGACCAGCCTACTTATGGGAAACTTCACCATCTAGCCTATTGGCTGAAGCCATTGTCATCGCCAAATCAAACAGCCAAATACAACTGACTCTCTCTCTCTCTCAGGAGAGACTTAACTTTATTTTTAACTTACTTTATTTTAATTCAAATTCATTTATTAATGGTTCCTTTGACAACCCGCTCACTTCTGAAATCAGAAAACCAGCAACTTCCTCAGTTCCCACAAGTTCACCTGGACAATCACACGGGCAGGAACAGGCGCGACACCCTGGTGGCTTCATGGTGCTTTGATTAAAGGATGTTTTATGCCACAGGATTTCAAATGATCTCTTTGTTTGGAGTACCAGAAGTTTCTGTCCTCCAGAGAACTGCCCCTGGTACATTCTAGAAGGGTGGGAGACCCTCCTTCGGAAAACAGGGGAGTGGGAAGGAACCCTGCAGGCAGCCACCTCCAGACAGCATGTGCTGAGCTCGGGAGAGGGTGCCTGTGGGAACCAAGCCTCTGGAATGAGCTCCCTTGAAGCCAGTCATGACCTGGGCCTCCAGGAGGCCTTTCGGGTCTTCTGGGGAGCTGTGCCCCTTGGGCCTCCGGAGAGGCCCCACTTATTCTCCCTGAGAATGGTGTCTTATATCTGGAACTCACTGCTTCTGTGTTCTTCTCCCCCATCTCAAACACATCCTTGCATTTGTCTCCACAGAGACCACCCCAGATGGGGCGCCTCCAACACGGCCCTGGCACGATGGCTCCCTCCAGTCTATGAGGACGGCTTCAGTCAGCCCCGAGGCTGGAACCCCGGCTTCTTGTACAACGGGTTCCCACTGCCCCCGGTGGGTACTCAGAACGCTACTATCCTGGACTAAGATTGGGTCCTGTGATGCTGAGGGAGGGAAATAGCCTTTTACTGGGTTCTTGCTCGTGCTGGGTGCTGCGTGCAATCCCTTCAGATCCTCCCAGCCTCCCTTTGATGTAGCAATCACTGTTTCTGCCCTATGGCTTAGGAGCCAAGGCTCAGGGAGATTGAAATCTCTTAGTGAGTGGAACCCTGCAGATTTAAATTAAGTTTTCTCAACCCTAACGTTTCTGTTCCTGAAAATCACTTCAGTGTTTTCAGATAAATTCCTTTATCCATCATGTGGGCTAGGTACATCCCAAGATGATTATGAGTTCAGCAATCCACTTGATGTAAAGATGACTGCTTTACTCCCAGAGGTGAATTTATTTGCTGGACACTCATAGCCTAGTAGAATCTACTGGTCTATTTGGTCAAAAAATGGGTCATTTTGCTTGTAATTTAACTACTCATTTCAATGAATAAGCCAGCCTGTTTGCTCTTGTGCCATGTTCAGTGATGAAATTATCTAGAAATACATCAGTGGATGTTCTGTTTAGCCCAAAGAGCGCAGGTGGTGGGACTCAGGTCTGACTCAGACCAGCTGTGGACAGATACACCAGCACAGAGTTCCCCTACGAAAGCCAACAACTTTACCTAGGCAATTTTCCTAGGCGGGCTTTTAGTAAGAGGACCTGGTGTTCCCAGAAGCCGTGAGAAGCCCTGGGTAGAGCTGGAGGCTGTGTCACTGAAGACGGCTCGGTGCTCCCAGCAGCAGGGACAAGGCAATTGGGCTCACGCTCTGCTCCCACTGGCTTCCTGCAAGTCGCTTGCCTTCTTGGCCTCAGTTGGACAATCCCTAAAGTGGGATAACACTGTCTTACCCACCTTATGCTCAACAGTGGACCAGTTCAACCCCCAAGGCTTTTTAAGCTCTCAGTATTATGAGATTGTGATTCTGTAAACCCATATTTGCTCAGAATTATTTCACTATTGAGAAAAATCAGAGTTCAAGTGTCTTTAAATGAAATTGTGTTGGTTTTCTACCCAGCTGTGACAAATTGCTCCAAATTTAGTGGCTGAAAACAACATAAATGTGATCTTCCAATTTCACAATCAGTGTCTGATGTCTCACTTGGCTGAAATCAAGGTGTTGCAGAGCTGGTTCTTTCTGGAAGCTCCAGGGGAGATCCCTTTCCTGGCAATTCCAGCTTCTGGAGGTGCCTGCATCCCCTGGCTCATGGCCCCTCCTTCCAAGCCAGCAATGTTGTCTGTCTCTGTGCCTTTGTTTGGAGTCACATCTCCACCTCCCGTCAGGAGAGGGCCTCCAACTTTAAGGACCCATGTGACTGGATTGGACACTCGTGGAGACCCAGGACAACCTTCCCATCTCAAGGCCCTTAATGTAATCGCATCAGCAGGCTCCAAGGATTAGCGAATGGATGTTGTGCGAGAGGCATTTTTCTGCCTCCACAGATGACCCACTGACCCTCAAAGATTCATACCCAGTCCACATGCCTAACATGCTCACCCCATTCCAAGGTTCCCCCAAACCCCATCCCATGACGGCACCAACTCTAGGCCCAAAATCCAATCCAAATCTCATCACATAAATCATCCACATCAGGTAGGGCAGGCTCAGGGTAAGATCCATCCAGGACAAAATTCCTCTCCATCTGGACCTAGCCTGTGAGACAGGGAAGCTTGTCGTCTGCTCTCCAGATGCCCTGGCGGAACGGTGTTAAACATAACAGCAACAGATGTCTGCGTGGAGAATGGAAAGGAAGGGGAGTCACTCCTCCCAACCCACGTGGAAATCCAGCCAAGCAACTCCCTTAGGCTTCAAGGCCAAGGAGTACTCGCTTGTGGCTGGAGGCTCTGCCCTCTGAGTCATGAACTCAACTGTCCTAAAGCCTGGCTGTTTTGTCAATGACTCTTCACTTAATCCCCACAACAACACTGAAAGCTCAACCTTTCCATATTAACTTACAGATGAGGAAGTGAGGGCTGAGGGAAGTTAATGCCAGGCCCTCCAGCCACCACAAATCAAGGCAGGGATTCAAGTCCAGGGGCATCTGTCTTCAAAGCTTATGCTCCTCCTGCCCTAACTCCAGGGCACAGATCTCCTAGGGGCACCTGGAGCTCTGTGAACAAGAACCACACCAGGAAGTGCATGATCCCAAAGGGTCATCTTTCTGCTACCACGGGGTCCTCCTATGTCCTGACCAATGGTCTCTTCCTACCCAGGTCCGGGAGGTGACAAGACATGTCATTCAAGTTTCAAATGAGGTTGTCACAGATGATGACCGCTATTCTGACCTCCTGATGGCATGGGGACAATACATCGACCACGACATCGCGTTCACACCACAGAGCACCAGCAAAGCTGCCTTCGGGGGAGGGTCTGACTGCCAGATGACTTGTGAGAACCAAAACCCATGTTTTCCCATACAAGTAAGTTTTAGAAAACGTTTCTATGTTTGTTATGAAACTAAGTGCTATTTAAAACGTCAAACAGAATGGTATAAAACAAAATGTGGAAGTCTGTTTCTTTGTCCTATTCCCAGGGGTAGCAGTTGTGAATATCTGGTGCATCTCACTGGAAATTCCCTGGGTACACGTATATATAGCATGTATGATAGTGTGGGTACACATATATATAGCATGTATGATACTGTGGGTACACATATATATAGTATGTATGATAGTGTGTGGGCAGATGTGTACATAGCATGTATGATACTGTGGGTACATATATATATAGCATGCATGTTAGTGTGTGGGCAGATGTGTACATAGCATGTATGATACTGTGGGTACACATATATATAGCATGTATGATAGTGTGTGGGCAGATGTGTACATAGCATGTATGATACTGTGGGTACACATATATGTAGCATGTATGATAGTGTGTGGGCAGATGTGTACATAGCATGTATGATACTGTGGGTACACATATATAGCATGTATGATAGTGTGGGCAGATGTGTACATAGCATGTATGATACTGTGGGTACACATATATATAGCATGCATGATAGTGTGTGGGCAGATGTGTACATAGCATGTATGATACTGTGGGTACACATATATATAGCATGTATGATCGCGTGTGGGCAGATGTGTACATAGCATGTATGATACTGTGGGTACACATATATATAGCATGCATGATAGTGTGTGGGCAGATGTGTACATAGCATGTATGATACTGTGGGTACACATATATAGCATGTATGATCGTGTGTGGGCAGATGTGTACATAGCATGTATGATACTGTGGGTACACATATATGTAGCATGTATGATAGTGTGTGGGCAGATGTGTACATAGCATGTATGATACTGTGGGCACATGCATATATAGCATATATGATAGTGTGTGGGCAGATGTGTACATAGCATGTATGATACTGTGTGGTCACAAGTATATAGCATATAGGATTATGTGTGGGCACATGTATTGGCACATCACAGGTGGGCTCGTGTGTATATAGCATGTATGATATTGTGTGGTCGTGTATATAGCATATAGGATTATGTGTGGGCATGTGTATTAGCATATATGATCTCGGGTGGGCACGTGTGTATATGGCATATAAGATAGTGTGTGGGCACGTGTGTATATGGCACATAAGATAGTGTGTGGGCACGTGTGTATATGGCATATAAGATAGTGTGTGGGCACGTGTGTATATGGCATATAAGATAGTGTGTGGGCACGTGTGTATATGGCATATAAGACAGTGTGTGGGAACGTGTTTATATGGCATATGAGATTGTGGGCACGTGCGTTTATGGCACATAAGATAGTGTGCAGGCACGTGTGTATATGGTATATAAGATAGCGTGTGGACACGTGTGTATATAGGAAATAATATAGTGTGTGGGCACATATGTATATGGCATATAAGATACTGTGTGGGCACATGTGTATATAGGATATAAGATAGTGTGTGGGCACGTGTGTATATAGCATATAAGACAGTGTGTGGACACATGTGTATATAGTATATAAGATAATATGCGGACATGTGTGTATATAGCATATAAGACAGTTTGTGGGCACATGTGTATATGGCATATAAGACAGTTTGTGGACATGTGTGTATATGGCATATAAGATAGTGTGTGGACATGTGTGTATATGGCATATAACATGCTGTGTGGGCACATGTGTTTATAGCATATAAGACAGTTTGTGGGCACATGTGTATATGGCATATAAGACAGTTTGTGGACATGTGTGTATATGGCATATAAGATAGTGTGTGGACATGTGTGTATATGGCATATAAGATACTGTGTGGGCACGTGTGTTTATAGCATATTAGTTTGTGGGCACGTGTGTAAATAGAGCCTATTATCCCATGTGTACCTGCACTTTTTCTCATCCTCTGTGTCACATCATGTGCATGCTCAGTGCCTGGTAAGGACCACTTAGCAATAGTTCTTATACATGTCTGCTTAACATTAAGTGAACAGAAATGTAATTGTTTACAACTTAGTATTCCATTTGTGTGTGCATTATAATCTATCTAACCACTTTCCCTATTAATGAGCATGAGTTGCCTTCTGCTTCATTGCTGTTTTTATGCTGTCACAAATAATGAAGCAAAGAGCACACTTGGCCCTCAATCTTTGTGCCCATGTGCACACCTGATAGATCCAGGGGTAAGATTGCTAAGTCACGGTGGAGGTGCCTGTGGAATTTTGATAAATATTGCAGAATTACTCTCCATTAATATTGCACAAATGTTCACTCTTACCAGAAAAGAAAGAGACAATATAGGTAGATTTTTAATTTTACTTCTCTCTGGAAACCAGCCTTGAAGTTAACAAGGGACATTTTCTTTTTTTTTTTTAAGACAGGGTCTCACCCAGTCGCCCAGGCTGGAGTGCAGTGGTGCAATCTCGGCTCACTGCAACCTCCGCCTCCCGGGTTCAAGCAATACTTCTGCCTCAGCCTCCCTAGTAGCTGGGACTACAGGCAGGTGCCACCACACCCGGCTAATTTTTGTATTTTTAGTAGAGACGGGGTGTCACCATGTTGGCCAGGCTGGTCTCGAACTCCTGACCTTGGGATCCGCCTGCCTTGGCCTCTCAAAGTGCTGGGATTACAGGTGTGAGCCACCGTGCTCAGCCAACAAGGGACATTTTCTACTTAAGAGCACAGATGGTTTCGATCTCATGTCCTCTCTAACATTCATTCAGTAAAACTTCACTGGCAGTTATTCTGTGCCATGCTGTGCTGTGTGCTAGGCAGGCTGAAAAGGAAGACAGGCTGGTCCCTGGAAGGTGGGCAGGACAGTTACATAAACCAGCAGTTACAAAATTCTGGGCATCTGCAGAGGAGGTCCCAGTGGGCAAAATCAAGACATCTAAACAAAATATCCCAAAAGGAATAATATTGGGGGAAAGGTGGAAAAGGAGCACCATAAAGACTGTGTCAATCATAGAAACTGAATTTCAGCCAGGTCCAGCCTCTGTCCCTGGGAGGAGGTCTCTCTCTCTCACACGCTGGGGCTCAGACCCTGGGAGACAGGGGGCCCCTTGCTCTTCTCTGCAGAGCCCCCTCACCAGGGCGGCCCCCTGCATGTGTTCCCTGCTGCATGTACCTCTAACCTGGGATTCTTTCTTTCTTTTTTTTTTTTTTGAGCTGGAGTCTTGCCCAGGCTGGAGTGTAGTGGCGCAATCTCAGCTCACTGCAACCTCCGCCTCCCGGATATAAGCGATTCTCCTGCCTCAGCATCCTGAGTAGCTGGGACTACAGGCATGCGCCACCATGCCTGGCTAATTTTTCTATTTTTAATAGAGATGGGGTTTCATCGTGTTGGCCAGGCTGGTCTCAAACTCCTGACCTCAAGTGATCTGCCCACCTTGGCATCCCAAAGTGCTGGGATTACAGGTATGAGCCACTGTGCCTGGCCCTAGTGTTATTCTTCACCACTCAGGACCCCAAAGTTCTCATCTGTTAACATTAGAGCTGTTAGATCTTGCAGAAGTACCTGTATCTTCAGCAATGAACAGTCTGCCAAGCAGAGGCCCTCGTTCCCAGCTAAGTGGCTCCCCAGCACAATCTGTGCAAAAAAATGACTGAGTTATGCAGCCTGGAGAAGCAGTGGAGATGGGCACCTATTATCTATCAGGTCTTGGGTTCCAGGCTTGCCTTGTAACTTATTAGCTGCGTGTATATAGGTTTGTTGTCCATAAAAAGAGTATATTTCCCAGGCTGGCCTTGTAACTTATTAGCTGCATGTATATAGGTTTGTTGTCCATAAAAAGAGTATATTTCCCACCTAATAATGTAGCAATTAGAATGAAATGAGATCGAATTTGCAAAACCAGGCTCAGAGAAGGAATTCAATGAACGTGTATTGTTATTGCTGTGTTGCTGGAAGTGTAGACCTCTGAGAGGGATGTGGGGTGATTAGGGAAGCTCAGCAGGGAGGGAGCACGTTGGGTAGGGAGCTGCACTGAGAGAACTACTCTGTGTGGAGGTTGGGCTCCCCTGGAGCTGCACTGAGAGAACCACTGTGTAGTGGGGTGGGGGCTCCACCTTTGGGCTCCCCTGGAGCTGCACTGAGAGAATCACTGTGCGTGGGGGCTCCACCTTTGGGGATCTCCTGGAGTTTCGCTGGTTTGGGCAAGAGCTGGTGAAAAGCAGCCTTGGAAGAAGGAGGGATTGTTCTTGCAAGTCTGCGGCTGCTATTGGGGTAATTTATGTTTGTCCAGACAGGTGGGACAGTTGGGGGCCACCATCTGGGTGGGAAGGACACGGGTAGCCCTGAGGCCAGACAAGGACCCCAGGAAAAGCCCAGCCCTTCAGGGCCACACACACCGTGGGGGAGGTTGGGGGGCCTCTGGCCAGGGCATCATCCTGGGCATGTTCTGCTGGTATCCAGGGTCACGTGATGGTTGTGGTGAGCCCCACACACCCGCCCCCAGAGGCTCCTTCCTCCACCCACAATACTCAGTTATGTGGATGGCTGCGTTCGTATAAAGATAAATATATTAATGTAGGTTCAAACGTTCTTTGGCCTAAATGTTTATTATTTTCTTCTGATTTTAAAGCAAGTTAAAGATTTTGTGGCCACACTTGCTCCTGTGGCCCTAGGCACTGTGGCTATGGTGCCGCCTGGGTAGGCTGGCCCTGGGGAAACTGGACTTCCACCTGCCTCAGGGGAGGAATTGGCCTTTTGTCCCAAGAAAAGTCTCCTCAGAAGAACCCGAGTGGGAGTGAAAAGCAAAAGTGAGTTGGGCCCCAGGGCCCCCTGCCCCACCGGGCATAAATATACCCACAGGCATGCACACACTCACAGGCACAGGTGACCGTGACCACCCGTACACCTGTGTGCACGCCCTTGTGCACACACATGCACACCCACCCACACCCATACACACACGTGCACACAGGCACACGCACCTATACATGCTCATGACACACAGACCCACACACACACCTGCACACACCTCACATGCACACAGCTGCTCCAGGATCCTTCTGCTGACATGCGGACCCTGTGTAACTCAGGAGTGTATTGGACGAGGGCAGGGGGGGCCGTGGCGAGGAGCAGGATACTGTGATGCCCGTGGAGACCCCCGCAGAGGTTCCGGGGGGTCCGGGCACTGGCTCCTTCGGGGCTCCCTACTGGATCTCAAGGGAAAGGCGGGTGCTCTCATCAGCCATGTCACTCTCCAGTGTCCTCCTTTCTTTTTAGGGCTCAGTTAGAGTGAGCCCGGTCACCCCAGGTACCGTCTCTCTGCCCTATTTCAACTTTCTCTTCTGGCTCTTCTGGGCCAGCCTGTCTTTCGTGGGGCAGGACTGGGGTTGACAGCACTTCCCTTCCACACGGAGCACATGCTTGTGGGACCCTGAAGGCAGAGAGGCTGGGGCAGGTGCTGTGGGCAGCAGGCGGGGAGGGGCTGGACCATCTCAGGCGGGGAGCCTGCAGGGCTTGTTCCCAGGAGCTGAGGAGCTGACTCCAGACCTCAGGGCTCTGCGCTAAGGTCCCTGGACACAAACTCAGGGCACAGACAAGAGGCAAACCCTCAGGGGACGACTTGAAAATATGGAATCACAAGGAATTGTTATCTTCATTCTATAAAGAGCTCTTATAAAGCAATGAGAAAAAAATAAACACCCAATGGAATAAACACCCGATGTGAACAAGAAAATTACAAGAAAACCCAAATACGTGTGTGTAGGTAAACACACACACACACACACACACATAGATATCAATGAAAGATAAATGAACAGCAAGATGCTGTTTTTAAACATACAGACTGGAAAGAAATTATGAAATTTTAATTTAGTGTTGTTGAGGGTATTGAGAAATCATTTGCATCCATGCATTGCTGTGCAAAAGTAAACTGGTGAATACATTCGGGACACGATGTGACATAAGGTATGAAATGAAATCAGGCCCATTCACAGCACCACAAGAATCTTCCCTAGGGACAATGTCCAAACTGCCCTTAAAAGTGGGTGAATATATTAGTTTGTCACGATTGTTTATATCACCAAAATACTGAAAAACTTTAAACGTTGATCACAGGCTATGAGCATGAGAAACACAAGCAACTTTAGACAATCATGTTATACAGTGATATTATGGAAATGGTAAAATGTTGCCCAGCTTAGTAAAATTTTAGATGATATTGTACTTGTCACTTTTCTTATTTCAAAATGTTCATTATTGAGCATATATTATCTTTGTACTTAGAGAAAAATAACAATAAAATTATTTGTAAACAATTTTAAAAATAAAAGGCAAGACCACATCTGGCAGGGAGGACACCTGCGTGCCCGTGGGTGAGAACGTGGGAGAGGCCCCAGGGTGGGTCTCCAGGGCACTTTCCAGGGCTCTTGGTGTCAGGCATGAACCTCCTGGCTTGCAGTTAAGAGTGTCCATCAATTATTCAGATCCTGTCCATCCCCAGGGCAGCCTTCAGTAGTTGAGTGATTGAGCTAACAGTCACTCCAGTGAGATGAAAAATATACCGTATACTCTAGGAGTAGCTCCATAAACCCAATAGATGACACATCATAAATCAGTGCTTTTAAATGTTTGATGTCCTTTACACTCAAAGCATCCAGTTTGGTCTCTGAGTATTTACGGTGGAGTGAGAGGGTGGAAGTTCTTAGTGAGCTTGGAGCAAGTTGGGACTTTTGAATCCCAAAGCAAAACAGAAAATGATCCACACAATTTATCATATCTATGTTTATTCAGTTTTCCTAAGAGAAACATGTTTCCAGCAACTACACGAGACTATAAATTAAAGTGTTTTGAGTCTCTGACTACTGATCACTCAGCCCAGGGAGCTGTGAGAGCTTTGCAGCATCCTCTATTTTAGGACTGGGCTTTTCTTCATGACCTTGCTCCTTCTGGTCTCGGCTAAGTGGGGGTGCAGGCAGCCCGATGATGTTCCACTGGGTGCTGCAAACCCCCCATCCACTGCAGAAAATATGTAGCTATGAATGTATCGACAACCTCAAAGCTATGCAAGCCTCCTCATGCACACCAATGTGTATCTCTAGGTACATATTACAAAGTGGAGTTAGTGGGTTATGAATTATGTTCATGTTGGAATTTTTTATTTCCATAAGTTATTGAGAACAGGTGGTGTTTGGTTACATGAGTAAGTTCTTTAGTGGTGATTTGTGAGATTTCGGTGCACCCATCACCCAAGCAGTATACACTGAACACAATTTGTAGCTTTTTATCTCTCACTCCCTTCCCACCCTTTCCCCCTGAGTCCCCAAAGTCCACTGTGTCATTCTTACGCCTTTACATCCCCATAGCTGAGGTGTCACTTATGAGTGAGAACATAAAATGTTTGGTTTTCAATTCTTGAGTTACTTCACTTAGAATAATAGTCTCCAATCTCAACCAGGTCTCTGCAAATGCCATTAATTCACTCCTTTTTATGGCTGAGTAGTATTCCATCGTATATAAAAAATCACAGTTTCTTTATCCACTCATTGATTGATGGGCATTTGGGTTGCTTCCACAGTTTGGCAATTGTGAATTGTGCGGCTATAAACACGGATGTGCCAATGCATTTTTCGTATAATGACTTCTTTTCCTCTGGGTAGATACCCAGGAATGGGATCGCTGGATCAAATAGTAGTTCTACTTTTAGTTCTTTAAGGAATCTCCACGGTGTTTTTCCACAGTGGTTGTACTAATTTACATTCCTACCAGCAGGGTAGAAGTGTTGTTCCCTTTTCACCATATCCACACCAACATCTATTATTCGTTGATTTTTTTTATTATGGCCATTCTTGCCAGAGTAAGGTGCTAATGTGTTGTGTTTTGATTTGCATTTCCCTGATCATTAGTGATGAGCATTTTTTCATATGTTTGTTGGCCATGTGTGTATCTTCTTTTGAGAATTCTCTATTCATGTCCTTAGCCCACTTTTTGATGGGATTGTTTGGTTTTTCTTACTGATTTGTTTGAGTTTGTTGTAGATTCTGGATATTAATCCTTTGTCAGATGTGTGGATTGTGAAGATTTTCTCCCACTCTGTGAGTTGTCTGTTTACTCTACTGACTGTTCCTTTTGCTGTGCAAAAGCTCTTTAGTTTAATTAAGTCCCAACTATTTATCTTTCTTTTTATTGAATTTGCTTTTGTGTTCTTGGTCATTAAATCCTTGCCTGAGCCAATAGCAAGAAGAATTTTTCCAATGTTATCTTCTAGAGTTTTTATGGTTTCAGGTCTTAGACTTAAGTCCTTGATCCATCTTGAGTTGTTTTTGTATAAGGTGAGAGATGAGGATCTAGTTTCATTCTCCTACACATGGCTTGCCAATTATCGCAGCATCATTTGTTGAATAGGGTGTCCTTTGCCCACTTTATGTTTTTGTTTGCATTGTCGAAGATCAATTGGCTGTAAGTATTTGGGTTTATTTCTGGGTTCTCTATTCTATTCCATTGGTCTATGTGCTTATTTTTGTACCAGTACTATGCTGTTTTGGTGACTATGGCCTTATAGTATAGTTTGAAATCAGGTAATGTGATGCCTCCAGATTTGTTCTTTCTGCTTAGTCTTGCTTTGGCTATGCAGGCTCTTTTTTGGTTCCATACGAATTTTAGGATTTTGTTTTCTAATTTGATGAAGAATGATGGTGGTATTTTGATGGGAATTGTGTTGAATTTGTAGATTGCTTTCAGCAGTATGGTTGTTTTCACAATATTGACTCTACCCATCCATGTGCATGGGTTGTGTCCCATTTGTTTGTGTTGTCTGTGGTTTTTTTCAGCAGTGTTTTGTAGTTTTCCTTGTAGAGGTCTTTCATCTCCTTGGTTAGGTATATTTCTAAGTATTTTATTTTTTTCAGCTATTGTAGAAGGGGTTGAGTTCTTGATTTGATTCTCAGCTTGGTTGCTGTTGGCGTATAGAAGAGCTACTGATTTCTGTACATTAATTTTGTATCCAGAAATTTTTCTGAATTATTTGATCAGTTCTAGGAGCTTTCTGGAGGAGTCTTTAGGGTTTTCTAGGTAAACAATCATATCATTAGCAAACAGCAACAGTTTGACTTCCTCTTCGCCGATTTGGATGCCCTTTATTTCTTTTGTCTGATTCCTCTGGCTAGGATTTCGAGTACTATGTTGAAGAGGAGTGGTGAGAGTAGGCATCCTTGTCTTGTTCCCATTCTCAGAGGGAATGCTTTCAACTTTTCCCCATTCAGAATTATGTTGGCTGTGGGTTTGTCATAGATGGCTTTTAATACATTGAGCTATTTCCCTTGTATGCCAATTTTGCTGAGTTTTGATCATAAAAGGATGCTGGATCTTTTTGAATGCTTTTTATGCATCTATCGAGACGATCATGTGATTTCTGCTTTTGATTCTGCTTACATGGTGTATCACATTTATTGACTTGTGTATGTTAAGCCATCCCTGCATCCCTGGTATGAAACCCACCTGATCATGGTGGATTATCTTTTTGATATGCATTGGATTTGGTTAGCTAGTATTTTGTTAAGGATTTTAGCATCTATGTTCATCAGGGTTATTGGTCCGTAGTTTTCTTTTTTGGTTATGTCCTCTTCTGGTTTTACTATTAGGGTGATACTGGCCTTACAGAATGATTTAGGAAGGGTTGCCTGTTTCTCTATCTTGTGGAGTAGTGTCAATAGGATTGGTAACAATTCTTCTTTGAATGTCTGGCAGAATTCTTCTGTGAATCTGTCTGGTTCTTGACTTTTTTTGTTGGTAATTTTTATATTACCATTTCAATCTTACTGCTTGTTATTGTTCAGGGTGTCTAATTCTTCCTGACTTAAGCTAGGAGGGTTATATCTTTCCAGGAATTTATCCATCTCTAGGTTTCCCAGTTGATGTGCATAAAGCTGTTCATAGTAGCCATGAATGATCTTTTGTATTTCAGTGGTGTCAGTTGTAATATCTCCCATTTTGCTTCTAATTGAGCTTATTTGGATTTTCTCTTCTTTTCTTGGTTAACCTTGCTAATGGTCTATCAATTTTATTTATCTTTTCAAAGAACCAGGTTTTTGTTTCATTTATCTTTTGTATTTTTTTTGTTGTTGTTTCAATTTCATTTAGTTCTGCTCTGATCTTGGTTATTTCCTTTCTTCTGCTGGGTTTGGGTTTGGTTTGTTCTTGTTTCTCTAATTCCTTAAGGTGTAACCTTAGATTGTCAGTTTGTGCTCTTTCAGATTTTTTATGTAGGCATTTAGGGCTATGAACTTTCCTCTTAGCACCGCCTTTGCTGTATCCTAGAGGTTTCGATAGGTTGTGTCATTATTGTCATTCAGTTCAAAGAATTTTTTTTTTTTTGAGATGGAGTTTCGCTCTTGTTGCCCAGGCTGGAGTGTAGTGGCACAATCTCGGCTGATTGCAACCTCTGCCTCCTGGGTTCAAGTGATTCTCCTCCCTCAGGATCCCGAGTAGCTGGGATTATAGGCATCCACCACCATGCCCAGCTAATCTTTTGTATTTTTAGTAGAGATTGGGTTTCACCATGTTGGCCAGACTGGTCTTGAATTCCTGGTCTCAGGTGATCCACCAGCTCAGCCTCCCAAAGCGCTGGGATTACAGGCATGAGCCACTGTGCCTGGCCCCGAAGAATTTTTTAATTTCCATCTTGATTTCATTTTTAACCCAGTGTCATTCAGGAGCAGATTATTTAATTTCCATGTATTTGCATGATTTTGAAGGTTCCTTTTGGAGTTGATTTCCAGTTTTATTTCACTGTGGTCTGAGAGAGTGCTTGATATAATTTCAATTTTCTTAAATTTATTGAGGCTTATTTTGAGACCTATCATATGGTCTATCTCAGAGAAAGCTCCATGTGCTGTTGAATAGAATGTGTATTCTGCAGTTGTTGGGTAGAATGTTCTGTAAATACCTGTTAAGTCCATTTGTTCCAGGGTATAGTTTAAATCCACAGTTTCTTTGTTGACTTTCTGTCTTGATGACCTGTCTAGTGCTGTCAGTGGAGTGTTGCAGTCCCCCACTATTACTGTGTTGCTGTCTATCTCATTTCTCAGTTCTGTTAGTAATTGTTTTATAAATTTGGGAACTCCAGTGTTAGGTGCACATTTATTTAGGATTGTGATATTTTCCTGTTGGACAAGGCCTTTTATCATTATATAATGACCCTCTTTGTCTTTTTTAACCACTGTTGCTTTAAAGTTTATTTTGTCTGATATAAGAATAGCTACACTGCTCGCTTTTGGTGTCCATTTGCATGGAATGCCTTCTTCTACCCCTTTACCTTAAGTTTATGTGAGTCCTTATGTGTTAGGCATGTCTCTTGAAGGCAGCAGATGGTTGGTGAATTCTTATGCATTCTGCAATTCTGTATCTTTTAGGTGGAGCATTTAGACCATTTACATTCAATGTTAGTACTGAGATGTGAGGTATCATTCCATTCATTGTGCTATTTGTTGCCTGTACCCCTTGGGTTTTTGTGATTTTGCTGGTTTTTTTAATTGTATTTTTGTTGTATAGGTCCTGTGAGATTTATGCTTTAAAGAGGTTGTGTTTTGATGTGTTTCCAGGATTTGTTTCAAGATTTAGAGCTCCTTTTAGCAGTTCTTGTAGTGCTGCCTTGGTAGGGGTGAATTTTCTCATCATTTGTTTGTCTGGGAAAGATTGTTATCTTTCCTTCATTTATGAAGCTTAGCTTTGCTGGATACCACATTTTTGGTGGATAATTGTTTTGTCTGAGGAGGCTGAAGATGGGTCCCAATCCCTTCTAGCTTGTAGGGTTTCTGCTGAGAAATCTGCTGTTAATCTGATAGGTTTTTACTTTATAGGTTACCTGGTGTTTTTGTTTCACAGCTCTTAAGATTCTTTTCATCATCTTAACTTTAGGTAACCTGATGACAATGTGCCTGGGCAATGATCTTTTAGCAATGAATTCTCCAGGTGTTCTTTGAGCCTCTTGTATTTGGTGTCTAGGTCTCCAGCAAGGCCAGGGAGGTTTTCCTCGATTATTCCCCAAAATAAACTTTCCAAACTTTTAGATTTCTCTTCTTCCTCAGGAATGCTAATTATTCCTAGGTTTGGTCATTAGACATAATCCCAGACATCTTGGAGGCTATCTTCATATTTTCTTATTCTTTTTTCTTTGTCTTTGTTGGATTGGGTTAATCTGAAGACCTTGTCTTTGAGCTCTGAAGTTTTCTTTTGCTTGTTTGATTCTATTGCTGAGACTTTCCAGTACATTTTGAATTTCTCTGAGTGTGTCCAATGTTTCCTGAAGTTTTGATTGTTTTTTATTTGTGATATCTATTTCCTTGAATATTTCTCCCTTCACTTCTTGTATCATTTTTCTGATTTCCTTACATTGGGCTTTGCCTTTCTCTGGTGCCTTCCTGATTAGCTTAATAATTAACCTTCTGAATTCTTTTTCAGGTAAATCAGGGATTTCTCCTTGGTTTGGATCCATTGCCAGTGAGCTAGTGTGATTTTAGGGGGTGTTAAAGAGCCTTATTTTGTTATATTACCAGAGTTGGTTTTCTGGTTCCTTCTCATTTGGGTAGTCTCTGTCAGAGGGAAGGTCTAGGGCTCTAGCCTGTTGTTCAGATTCTTTCGCCCCAGGGGGTGTTCCCTGGACGTGATTAGTACTCTCCCTGTTTCCTAGGGATGTGGCTTCCTGAGAGCTAAGGTGTAGTTATTGTTATCTCTCTTCTGGATCTAGCCACCAAGTTCAAATTGTTACAAAGTTCAGCTGGCAGTTTCCTTCTCCCTGTGGCCTTTTACAGGTGCCTCTGGCAGCCCTCCTGAAGGACCCCTGTGAGGCAAGGTGGAAATGGCTTCCTAGGGGACCCAGAGATCCCACAGGGCTTTTCTGGCTGCTTCCTCTACTCTTGTATTCCACTCGGCTCTCTAAATGGACTCAGCTCCGGGTAAAGTCAGAATCTTCTCCCGTAATCTAGACCTTCAGGTTCCGCAGTGGGGGTGCATGTTCAGGGTGGACGATCTCTCCCACTTCCTCAGTTTGGGCACTCACAGTATTTGGGGTGTCTCCCGAGTCCTGCAGGAGCCATCCGCTTTCTTCAGAGGGTCTGCGGTTTCTCTTGGCTTTCCTAATGTATTCCTGCCGTCGTTCTGGAGCAAAAGTTCACGACGTGAACCTCCACACACTGCTCTGTTTGTCCAAGTGAGAGCTGAAACCTAGTCCTGCCTCTTGTCCGCCATGATCCGTCACAAAAAATCCTCCTCATGTTGGAATTTTAATAGGTACTCCCAAATTTCTCTGCAGCAATGAGATGGCGAATTGTATTTTCTAATTGATTATTTTTCAGCAACAATTAATCTTACATAATTCCTATTATTTTCCAATGCGGTAAAGAAGAAAATCTTGAATTTTACATTATTGGCTTTAAAACCTGTATCTGTGTCTCTTTTGTTGACCTAAAGCAAGAAGCTGAGGCACAAAATACATTTTAAAGAGTTTACTTGAGCCAAAATGAGAATAGCTGCCCGGAATACTTAGATCCAAATAACTTTGGACGTGAGCTTTGTTAGATCTTTGCTGCAAACAGGTTTCAAAGGCGAAAAAGGTGGACAAGGAGTGAGCCTTGGTCCTTCACTCTATATGATTGCTTGGCTTTTCATTTTGTTTACGGTGCCATTATTCATAAATTTAGGTCGATTTTCGTCAATTTTTTTTCTTCTCTATGACATCTACATTGTTATCTTACTGAGCAGGTCTTCCTTATCTGGTATATATAATAATATATATATAAATATATTTTTCTATATTTTATTTTAAACATATTAAAAACTGGGCTTGATATACAACTTTGTTTTATTCTGACTCTATTTTGTGTAGATAAAATACTGCTTTAGTGAGTAACATTTAAAAAAGCCATGGTGAGAGCAGCATCTGCCTCTGTTCCTAGATAAAGGGCATGATTCTGATGTTTTTCCTCACATACTGTGTCTACTAGGAATTTCTGCTAGACAACTTCAGTTAGAAATTTGAAAATCTTATTTGTAATTTCCCAAGAATTTTAATGAGGCTTGTGGGTTCCAGCTTTACTCAATACCTTCCCAGCATCGGCAGAGGAGGCCACAGGGCTTCCACTTCACTTCATTATTGTGTGAGCTACACTGGTAGATTTCCAACGCAGTGCCATATTTACATGGCCTGCATGATGGTGATGCAGGTTTTCATTTATTCTTGGATTGAATTTGCTAATATTTTATTTGAAATGTTGCCTCTCTCTTCATAAGCAGAGTTGTGCTACAGTGCTCTTTTCCGATGCTGCACCTATTTGGGTGTTACAAACACACCAGCATCTGACAGTGGTCAGGGGTTGCCCATTCTTTTACTATGCTCAGGATTACCTTGTCTAAAATCAAATTTGGGCTTTTTGTTTTGAATAACTGGTAGAGCTTATTTGTGACTCTGGTCCTGATAACCTCTGGGGTGGCAGATCTTTGGTTATGGGCTCAGTTCTGGGTGCAGTTAGTCTATTCGAGCCCATAAGTCTTTCCTGTTCTTTATTTTCTATTACCTTCCTATTACACTTTTTCATCTACTTCACATTTCTCACCCTCTTATGCTGAAAGCGAGTTGAGTTACGTTCACTGTGTCGTGCTTTTTGACAAGTGTAGTTAAGACTATGTATTTTCCTGTGACCCCCCCCCACAAATTTTGATACATGGTCCTTACATTGATGTTAATTCAAAATAGGTTTTAATTCAAATAAGAATTTCTTACATTAAACTTGAGCACCCACATGTAAGTGTAATTTCACATAAATGTAAAACTTAAACTGTGCCTGACTCTCCCGACACGAGTCTCTTCCTCTCCCTCCCTCATTTGCTAGACTCTCCTCCTGCTCACTCCCATGTTCTCCACTCATGCCCCTGCCCCCAAACCAATCATTTGACTCCCAAATGTTGATATTTGAAGTGTGTGTAGGGGAAAGGGGGCATGATAAATGAAACTAGAATAGTAAGAAGCTGGTGTAGACAGCATAGTGGGCTCAAAGGGATTCACTGGGCACCCCGTTTTAATCAGCATGCCCTTGCTATGATCTCAGCACTCATGGCATGCCCTTCCCATGATCCTGATGTTCATGGTGTGCCCTTCCCATGATCCTGATGCTCATGGTGTGCCCTTCCCATGATCTGAAAGTTCATAGCACATGCCCTTCCCATGATCTGAATGTTCATAGCACATGCCCTTCCCATGATCTGAATGTTCATAGCATACCCATCCCATTCTTTGAGTGCTCATAGTATGTTCTTCCTGTGATCTGAGTGCTGATATCATGCCCTTCCCATGATGCAAATGCTCACAGCATGCACTTCCTGTGATCTGAACGCTCATAGAGTGCTCTTCCTGTGATCCAAATGCTCATGGCATGCCCTTTCCATGACGTGAATGCTCATGGCGTGCCCCTCCTGTGTTCTGAATGCTTATAGAGTGCCCTTCACATGATCTGAGTGCTCATGGTGTGTCCTTTCTGTGATCCAAATACTCATGCTATGTCCTTCCCTTGATCCAAATGCTCATGGTGTGTCCTTCTGATGATCTGAGTGCTCATAGTGTGCTCTTCCCACGATATGAGTGGTCACGGTGTGCCCTTTCCATGATATGAATGCTCACTTGGCTACACCTAAAGAAGTCATGCACAAGCATATTCTCTTGAATGTTGTTAACAAAAACAAGACTATGCTGAGTACACGTTCTGTATCTTGGATTCTCACTCAGTAGTGATGTGTCCTGGGAATCCCCCCAGTGGAGCGCCAAGCCATCCCTGCTTACGGCTGGACTGTTCCACACTCCGGGTCACAGCCATGGGTGTGCCCTTCCGTGTTACAGCCTCTGCCACAGCGTGGATCACCAGAAGTGACACTGCCAGGTTGGAAGGCAGCTTTAGCACTGCTATGCTGGTACTACTGTCTAAAAATTCTGTGACCCTCACAGCAACGACTGAGTGTACCCCTTACTCACATTCGCCATCCACACTGGCAACAGCCTTGTTTTTTTCTCATTTTTTTCTGCTTGTTTGGCGGCAAAAAAAAAAAAAAAAAAAAAAAAGGAGAGAGAGAGATATTTCGTTGTTACATTAGTTGCTTTCCCTGAATATTAGTGAATTTTAAAGTTGTCCTTTATTTATCTTTTTTTGGCAATTTGTATTTGTTCAACGAATGATCTGTTCATAGCCTTTGTCCATTTTTCTACTATTTGACTGTTAATTGATTTTAATTGCTCCTTTCCACTCTAGATGTTAACTCTCTATCTCTCACTTTTCTTACAAATGTTTTTCTACAGCCCCATCAATACAGAACTGTCAGCATGAAGCACTTTCATATTTTATAAGGCCAGGTCTACTTATGTGTTGATGGCTTCTAGGCTCAGTTTTGGTTCAGGAATCTCCTTTGCTCGAAGTCGACAGTGACCTCCTGGGTGGTATTACAGCACGGGTTTCCATTCATTTTGCACAGTGGACAGTCTGGGTGCGTTTTATTCCCATTCAGATGGAAAACCAGCTGGTTCTGCCCTCCTTCTCCCCACAGGCCTAGATAGCACTTTGTCACAGAAGAACTGGGGTCTGGTTCTGGGCTCTCTGTCTTCTTTTATTAACAGATTCATCTGTTCTTGTTGACAATACCGTGTGGACTTGGTCATAGCGGCCTTATAGTATATCCTATTATCTGTCAAGTCAATACCGCATCACCATTCTTTTCCCTAGTTTATTAAGGAATAAATAAATAATGGAATTTGTATCTTCATATAAACTTTAAAATTAATTTATCTATTTCAAAATGAAAAAGTACTATCATTATTATTGTAAATGAAATTGCATTTAATTTATACATTCATTTAGAGAGAAATGATCTTTTCCCAAATTTTTTGTATATTTAATGATGTTTTATGATTTTCTTTTTGTAGATCATGTGATTATTTTGTTAAATTTACACACCTGATTTTGATCAACTTTTTTGTCATTATGAAAGGGATTTTTTTTTCTCCATTACCATTCATGGTACTTTGCTAAAGAACAAAACAAAAAAGAAAGAAGGAAAAGAACAGTTTTATACTTATCCTCAGATCGAAGACATTTTTTAAAGAAATGTTATCAATTTTTTAGAATTTTTAGATGTTGTAGACATCTAACATAGCATTAAGAAAAAATAATTTTATTATGTTTTAAATCTTATTTTCTCTTACAGTAGCTTTACCAGCTCTTATTTTATTTTCTAGACTTTGGTCTAACTGAGATAGTACTAAGTACCAACAATGATAGCGGGAGTTTCTGCTAGTCCTTAATTTTAAATTAAATTGTTCCATTGTTTCACTGCTCGAGATAATATTTGTTATTGTTTCTACATTATATTTTAGCAATTCCAATCTATTCTATTTCTATTTAGCCAGGAATGGTAAGTAATAGTAAATTGTGTTATTGCATTTTAAGTACCTATGATATTAATTTTTCTTCTTTAATTTGCTGACACCCTGGAAAATACAACTCTATTCTCCAACACGGAACCATTCTGTGAATAGATTCTATTTGACTATGGTAATTGCTGTTTTGATTTGCTGCCCTATCTTTTATTATTTTATTTAGAAGGGATATTGATCTGTATGCCCTGTCCTTGTCCTGTTTTCATCAGAGGCCAATACAAAAGTTTCGCTGACTCTGTAGAGTGCACTGGGGCCCTTTTCATCTTTTCCATGGCTGAAATAGTTTAAGCAACCTTGGAGTTACCTATCCTTTCGAGATTTGATAGAAGTCCACCGTCAATGCCATCTGACCTCTGGATTTCTGATCACCTTGTCTATCTCTTCCATCCTCATTGTCCATTGGAGTTTTACATTTCTTCTTGGAAAAGCTGTGGTTATTTCTATTTTGTTAGGGAGTCATCGATCTGTTCTTCATTTTCCAATGTGCTGCCATGAAACCGCATATACAGTCGCTCCTGGTTCTTCTCATCTCTCCTGCATGCCTGAGCCCTGCTCCTTTCTCATGGCAAATCCTGCCTCACTCGGTGCTCTTTCTTTGTTTTCCACACTGGGTTGTGAAGCAGGGCTTCATGTTTTCTTCCCACCAGGTCTTTTATTCATAGTTAATTATTTTAACTTCTGCATGCATTAATTTAACTTTCTCATTTATTTGTGCTTTAGCTCTTTGTTACTTAACTAAATTCTTAAAATAGCTACTTAATTTCTTGGTTTTTGTTGTTTTGATGAAAGCAATTTAAAGAGCACAGATTTTCTTCTGAGGAAGGCTTTGCTGGTGTGCTTGAATTTTCTTAACAAGTGAGTTAACTTTTCATTGATTTCTGGAGACACTTTCAGCTCTTCTTAAGAGTCTCTTTGAATCAGTGAGTAGGAGAATTTGCAGCTCCTTGTTATTTATTTGTAATTTTATTATTATTTGTGCTCTTCAATTTAATTCCTCTATTTCCTCCCATTCTTGGGGCCTCTGGGCCTGTATATTCTGAAGGGCGTGCACTGAAGTTCCGGCTGTCACGGTTTTCTTGGCTTTCCTACTCTTTTGCTGAATTTCAGCTCCTCCCTGGGTTCCCTGCTGGCCCCAAGTACTCACCTCGTCTACTCTAAGCCTCGCAGGCCTCCCTGAGGCTCTCAGTGGAAGCGCTTTTTTTTTTTCTTTTTTCTTTTTTTTGAGACGGAATCTCGCTCTGTCACCCAGGCAGGAGTACAGTGGCCCAATCTCGGCTCACTGCAAGCTCCGCCTCCCAGGTTCACGCCATTCTCCTGCCTCAGCCTCCCGAGTAGCTGGGACTACAGGTGCCCGCCACCGCGCCCGGCTAATTTTTTGTATTTTAAGTAGAGACGGGGTTTCACTGTGTTAGCCAGGATGGTCTCGATCTCCTGACCTCGTGATCCGCCCACCTCGGCCTCCCAAATTGCTGGGCGCCCACCTCAGCCTCCCAAAGTGCTGGGATTACAGGCGTGAGCCCCCGCGCCCGGCCGGAAGCGCTTGTTTAATGCACGATCTTTTTTAACGTGGACCCTGTGCTGGCTCTGAGCCAAGGCTGGGGCCTCGTTGCTGCCCCGACCCCCAGCTGGCCTTGGGCTGCACAGCTGCCAGGCCTGGGCGCTGCCCAGAGGGGTTCTGACAGCATCTGCTTTGCTGCTTCACCACAAGGCCGACTCCCTCTCACCTACATTCTTTCTGCTGCACCTCCTGTGCCTGGGTCCATCAGGAGCTCGGCCTGTCTCCCTGCACCGCACGGCACCGAGCGGCCAACCCCTGAGCGGCTGCTGGCTCGCTGGCCGCATTTCCCTAATGCAGCCCAGGTCTTCCGTTCCTTCCTACTCCTCAGTGCCCAGGCTGCACTTTGCCCCGAGAGGAGCTTTCCCCTTATTTTCACTGGTAATAATAATGTCCTATTACGAGAAGACCGTGATCTTCAGGAAGAGTCTCTTTCGGAATCTGTCCAACCCCGGTGATCTTGTGATTCTGGATGAGCGATTTAACCTCCTAAATCTGATAACGCCCAGGGTAGGCCCTGACCCCGTGACACCTCACCAGGGAGGAAGAGCTGACAGGGAAAGGGCACATGCTCTCTGCAGCCCACAGAGCTCGACTCTTCCCAGGAAACCTGTAAATCTGGAAAAAATATTTTAGATCTCCATGTTACAGATGAGAAGATGGAAGCTGGCCACAGCCAGAGTTGGAATCCCACCCAAGGTCTCCTCACTCCCCTCAAGCTGCCTTTACACTAAACAGTGATGCCCACAAAACTCGGAGACTGTTTACTCATTGTGCTCCTAAACCAAGTCCATGGCACTGGAAAGGAAGAAGTCAGCTCTTCCGAAAGTCAGAAAATAAACCAGACCGGGGATTCCATGAGCAGCTAGAGCAGGTCTGAGCAGGAGCGAGACTGGCTCAGGCCAAGAGCGTCTGAGCTTTGGGGAGATGTGGACTCCTAGGATGTGGGGTCCATCCTCTGGGTTCAACCTCTTCCAGGCAAGAGACCACCAGTGAGCAGGCTGAGGGGAGGTGCGGGGCTGGCTGGACCGACCCCTGCAGCCTCTTCCAGGCAAGAGACCACCGGTGAGCAGGCCAGGGGGGAGGTGGGGGGCTGGCTGGACCAACCCCTGCAGCCTCTTCCAGGCAAGAGACCACCGGTAAGCAGGCCGGGGGGGGAGGTGAGGGGACTGGCTGGACTGACCCCTACAGAGGACTGGAGGGGCAGAGAAACGTGCGGCGCTGCGGGGTCGTCGCCGGCCTCGAACTTCCAGAGTCTTACAAAGGGTGCACGGGGGCCCTGGGTGACCTTGAACTCCCCTTTGCCTGCAGCTCCCGGAGGAGGCCCGGCCGGCCGCGGGCACCGCCTGTCTGCCCTTCTACCGCTCTTCGGCCGCCTGCGGCACCGGGGACCAAGGCGCGCTCTTTGGGAACCTGTCCACGGCCAACCCGCGGCAGCAGATGAACGGGTTGACCTCGTTCCTGGACGCGTCCACCGTGTATGGCAGCTCCCCGGCCCTAGAGAGGCAGCTGCGGAACTGGACCAGTGCCGAAGGGCTGCTCCGCGTCCACGCGCGCCTCCGGGACTCCGGCCGCGCCTACCTGCCCTTCGTGCCGCCACGCGCGCCTGCGGCCTGTGCGCCCGAGCCCGGCATCCCCGGAGAGACCCGCGGGCCCTGCTTCCTGGCCGGAGACGGCCGCGCCAGCGAGGTCCCCTCCCTGACGGCACTGCACACGCTGTGGCTGCGCGAGCACAACCGCCTGGCCGCGGCGCTCAAGGCCCTCAATGCGCACTGGAGCGCGGACGCCGTGTACCAGGAGGCGCGCAAGGTCGTGGGCGCTCTGCACCAGGTGCGCGGGGTGGTCCTGGGCGCCCTGGGTGGCTGCGGGCAAAGCGGGGGGCGCCTCGTGTGGGTGCGCAGCATCGTGGCTTCTCTCTCCCAGGTACTTGCACAGCCATCATGGGCGCCCACATGGGTGAGCTCCAGGTCGTGGGGCCCTGTGTGGGTGCGCAGTCCTGCTGGGCGCCCTGCATGGGCGTGTGGAGGGTCATCGTGAGCTCCTGTGCAGGGGCCGAAGGGTAACTCCGGAGCTGGCGGCCCTCCGGGGCCCCTCTGTCCCACCTGCTTACCCTCCAGCCGGCTGGTGATTATCCCACCAAGACCCAACAACCACAGCCCCACAACAGTGGCAGCCAGACCACCCAGGTTTCCCGGTGCGCACAGCCAAGCTACGTGCTTTACAGATTTCAACTCATTTAATAATTCCCAGAACAACCCTTGGAGGTGGGTGGACCAGGGGTGCTGGTGTTTTTGTATTTCAGAGACAGTGCAGTGAATGAAGAACCGACTCTGTGTGAGGATTCTGAACTAACAAGTTAGAGTCTATTTGAAACCTTTCTTCATTTTATGACTTTCTTAAGTATCACATGAGAGGGTCTTGAATGGAGAGTCAAGTTGGCCTTTTATTAATTGTGTGATGGAGAAAAGCACTTATGCACCTGGAAATGCGGTCCCTGACTCTAGGGGTCTCACAGGTTGTTAGGAAGAAGGATGGGCTGTTTGATATGCGAGTCACCGTGTGTGTCTGTTGCACCAGGCCCTGTGGCGGCCTGGGCATCGTGTCTGCAGTCCTAGCCGGGAGCCTGCAGGGAGGTGCGCGTCAGTCCTGTTCTAAAGGAGGCACTGGAGCCTTGTCCGAGGAGGCACAGGGGCTGTGTGTGGCACCGGCTGCCCCCGGGCACCATGCGCCCCTGCCGCTTTCTGGCCTTCACTGCACTGGGGTCCAGGCCCCAAAGGTCAGAGCAGAGGGTCTGGGAAGCCTCCATGCGCTGGGTGTTAACCCTTAGTTCCTGGGTGGCGAGGGGACCTGGAGCTTCCTGGAACAGGGGCTGGCAGCAGCAGGCCCTCACACTTCTCCGGCAAGCACGGCAGACGGGCTCACTGTCCTAACACGCATCCACACAGCAAACACAGCAGACGAGCTCACTGTCCTAACGCACATCCACACAGCAAACACGGCAGACGAGTTCACTGTCCTAACGCACACATCCACACAGGAAACACGGCAGACGGGCTCACTGTCCTAACACGCATCCACACAGCAAACACAGAAGACGAGCTCACTGTCCTAACGCACATCCACACAGCAAACACGGCAGACGAGTTCACTGTCCTAACACACACATCCACACAGTAGCGCTTGGTGGGGAGCATCAGCCGGACGGAGGAGGCTTATGTGGGTGAGAAGATCGAGTTAGAAATGAAAACAGGAACCTTGTCACTATGTGAAGTAAAAATCATCAGGCACCCACGTCGCTTTCAAGCAGCGACTCAGACACTTTCCTGCTTCCCCGTGCAAACGGGAATATAAACCCAGGAGCTGCTGAGCGGTGGAATCCAGGTCCTCGTCTCCATGAGTCTGGACTTCCGGCCACACGCGTGGGGAGGCAGGTCCCAGACGGCTGCCTTCTCCCCTCTGCTCAACCCCTGAGGCCTTCGGCGCTCCTGTCTGCTTCCTTGCTTCTGTGCCCCTTCCCTGACTGCGACCTCCACGGGCAGATGTTCATCCATTTAATTCTTGTTTCTCAGGACCCACAATTTGCCAGGTTGCTTCATAAATATATGTAGAGTTTGTGAATGAAGTAGAATCTCAAAAATAATTCTGGAAGTCCTGCCCCTTCTGTCTCCTCAGGAGCAGGATTTGGTTTGAACCTTCTTTGAGTGAGAACCTCATCCAGCCCAGGGAGCTGTGAGAAGAGCAGCTGCCTCTGATCCCTGGAGCCCGTTCACAGAGCGGGAAACGCCCAATTGTCACGCACCCTGTTGTCTTTCTTCTCCATGGAGTTCTGGGATTATTTAGAGGCGTGAATTATTACCAGGCCCAGTCATTGTAGATTAGAGACAGTTTAATTCCAAGTTACTGAGAATCCTACTGACCTAGAAATAATGACATTTGGTTGCTGCGGCTGTGGCTGCTGCTGCTCCTCCTTGTCCTCCTCCTCGTCCTCCTCCTCCTCTTCTTCTTCTCCTTCTTCTTCTTTTTTTTTTGAGACAGTCTCACTCTGTCACCCAGGCTGGAGTATAGTGGTGAGACCTTGGCTCACTGCAACCACCACCTCCCAGGTTCAAGCGATTCTCCTGCCTCAGCCTCTCAAGTAGCTGAGACCACAGACATGTGCCACCACTCCCAGCTGATTTTTATATTTTTAATAGACATGGGGTTTTGCCATGTTGGCTAGGATGGTCTTGAACTCCTTTCCTCAAGTGATCCGCCTGCCTCAGGCTCCCAAAGTGCTGGGATTACAGGCCTGAGCCACTGCGCCCAGTTGCCTTTTCTTATTATTAATGAAATAATAACAACAGCAACCAATAGGAAAAGTGTTCTTCTCTGTTTCATATTTACCTTCCTCAATTCATTTTCTGTGTGTTCTGCTTTTTAAAAAACTGTGAACATTCTTTTCTTCTTGGTTTTACATTTCACTTTTGAATTTCCTTTTGTATTTTTTTCAGTTAATAGGTCCTCTTTGGTGCTTTTTGCAAAAACCTTTGATACATTAAAATAATAAGTTGTGTTTAACGTGTCGATAGAGCCACTGCTGCGACTTCTAGCCGTATTTGAAAGATCCACGGTGGCCTGGGCCTGGAAGCCTCATTTTTCTCTCCCTGGTTCTACTGACTCGTAGTTTGGTAACTTTGTAATCTGAATCTCTCTTCTTCTGAAAAACATTAGATAATGAAAAGAGATGCCAGGGCAACCTTATGAAAGAGAAATAGCATCCCCCCCTCTATCACCCCTCAAACCCCCTACACACACACACACACACACACACACACACACACACACACACACACACACACACACACACACACACGAGCCAGCCAGGGCCAGGCTAATGCACACATCAGCAAGAGACAGGAAAGGTCATCTCAGAGCCGGGAGTCACAGCTTTCTCCTCCATCTGTCCACACCACCTCCCTCCTCCTTCATCCGTCCAAACCATGTTTCTCCTGCTGCATCCGTCCACACCACCTCCCTCCTCCTTCATCCGTCCACACCACCTTCCTCCTGCTGCATCCGTCCACACCACCTCCCTCCTCCTTCATCCGTCCAAACCATGTTTCTCCTGCTGCATCCGTCCACACCACCTCCCTCCTCCTGCATCCGTCCACACCACCTCCCTCCTCCTGCATCCGTCCACACCACCTCCCTCCTCCTTCATCCGTCCAAACCATGTTTCTCCTGCTGCATCCGTCCACACCACCTCCCTCCTCCTGCATCCGTCCACACCACCTCCCTCCTCCTGCATCCGTCCACACCACCTTCCTCCTGCTGCATCCGTCCACACCACGTCCCTGCTGCTGCGTCTGTCCTCACCACGTCCCTGCTGCTGCGTCTGTCCACACCACGTCCCTGCTGCTGCGTCTGTCCTCACCATACCCACTCTAATTTGTCAGGGCCCAACCACAGCCGCCCCCACTCTGAGGATCTTGGCTCCTCTAATTTCTTTTGTCGAAAGCTGAGAGCTATCCCCTCCCTCAGCCCTGGGCCACAGGACTTCTGCTGTGGGCATGTTTGGGAGGGATCTGCAGGGCCGCCCTCTGTGCTGGTTCCTGGGATCCGGCATCTCTCGGGGGACTCGCACGTAGGAAGGGCTGATAAAGTTGCTCTTGCTGGCTTGAGATCCCACAGGACCCTGGATCCATAAGCCCTGCTTCCCACCAGGAGGAACTGAAGCTCTTGCTCTTCAATCCCAGAAAACCCTAGCTGCTTTAGGTGTGTCATAAGACAAGAACTCACAATCAGTTGCTCACTTTGGTGATAACTTTTGTGTTCTACAGACAAGAAAAGAATGAGAAAGGAAACCCTTCCCAGCACAGGTGTGAGGGAGGCAGAGAGGAGGTAGCCATCCTCGGGGAGTCTGGGTGTGCCATCCAGGCAGCATGGAGTTTGGGTTCCACAGGGTGAAAAGATAAAGACATCCCAAATATCTGGCGTGGATGTTTTCTATGCCCCGGCCATCAGATAGCAGACCTATTTCTGGAGCACAGCCTTGATTTCCCCAGATATCCAGGGACCCACAGAAGCTTTGCTTTGGATGTGTGTGGAGGTAGAACCAGACCCCGGAGGGACTGCAGATCTCCCTGGACATCCCCATCCCGGGCAGGCAGATCCATGTCTCGGGGCAGGGGCTGCATCCCTGGGCCACTCGGCTGCTGACCTTTGCTGTAGCTGAGTACTTTTTCAGATTGGTTGCTCTTCCAGAGCAAAGGAGCAGATGGATAAAGTCATGCTTCCAAGGCTGGAAAGAAAGAGAAAGGGCCGTTCCTGCAGTGGGTGCTGTTGCTGCCCCACCCAGGCCCCTTTATCTGCAGGGCCCCATCCCCCAGTGGCCTCCAATGTTGGCTGACAAAGTCTCCTGGTCGTTCCTCTCCAGGGGTAGCTGTGGAGGCTGTTCCCTGCCCTGCAGGGACAGCCAGGCCCCTACCTCAAGGCTGGACCAAGCCCAGGTGCGCCATGCTGCAGGGCTTCCTGCGGAGGAGCACAAGCCAGGCCTGGCTGTGTCACGTCCTTGGGGAGCTGGGTGCCTGCTCAGCCTCCTCCCTGGAGCACCCTCAGCAAGCATATGGGAGCCTCTTATTGGACTAATAGGGCATGTTTGAGAAAATGCTGAGTGATGTTCTGCGTAGAGCAGGGTAGGTGACTTTGAAAGCAGTCGAGAGTCAGAAAGTTCAGAGGAGCCTGTGCCAGGGGCTACGCGGCTGTTTCCCACCGTCGGTGACAAGGATCGCATCTCCAGGTCTCTTCGTCCTGGTCTCCCCGTGTGCTGGGGTCCTGGCTTCCCGTCACCTTCACGCCCATCATTTTCCCAAGTGTGGACCTTTCAGTCATTCCCACTGGTGAGTTGTGAAGGCAAAGAAATGGAGAGTGGCCACAAGTCAGCACCTGGTGGCTTTGGCAGAGGCTGTGGGGAACCAGGAGGCTGGGGTGAGAGCAGACGTGGAGGAGCAGCTTGAAGCAGCCTGGGAAGATGAGGCCTCTACATGGTACCGCCAGCAGAGGAAGAAGACATGGCCCACCTGGGAGGTGAGCAGGAGGGGCACCTGACAGCGACGATGCCCCGGTCTCACAGTATGGCGTCTGCCCAGGTCCAATAGTTCAGAGTAACCATTTCCCCCATGCGACCAGGTAAAGAAATACCAGAAGCATTTCCAGAAGAATTGCCATGAAAATTCCAGAGAGCTGTTTACAAGGTTCAAGTGTTTTCTTTTTCTCTTTTTGAGAAAGCTTCTCCTCTATCACCTAGGCGGAAGTGCGGTGGTACAATCATAGCTCACTGCAGCCTCAACCTCCTGGGCTCAAGCAATCCTCCACCTCAGCCACCCAAGTAGCTGGGACTACAGGTGTACACCACCACACCTGGCTAATTTTTAATTTTTTAAATTTTTTTGTAGAAACAGAGTCTGACTGTGTTGCCCAGGCTGGTCTTGATCTTGGGCTCAAGCAATCCTCCCACTTTGGCCTCCCAAAGTGCTGGGATTACAGGCGCAAGCCACCGCGCCTGACTCAAGATTCAAGTTTTAAGGCCCCATTGGTCAGAACAATGGGTGCTTCTGCCCAACCTCGACGGCTCCCAGGGGAGGCTGCAGTATCTGAGCCAATCACTTACCAGGGATGTTTCAGATCAGATGAGGAGGCAGTGGGGAAGAGGAGAGACACACTGTTCAGAGCTCTGGCAAGATCAGACACTGAGGAAGTACAGTGTCTGTGAGGCTCTGATGAAGGGCGCAGGTTTCCTCTCTGTTAACAGCTAGCCGGGCACAGGTGGAGCTGCTGAACCTGAGGCTCAGGCCTCAGTTCTCTGCCTGTGCTTGCTGCATCCCCTGGCTCACAAGTCAAACTTCAGGCAGGCAAGAAGGGGAAGAGGTGTCTTCCTTAAAATAGCTTGCACTTGAATTTGAAATTGTCTCAGTCCCTGGGCTAAAAAGAGAGAGGCCTTTTCCTTTCTATTGTAGTGAGAAGAAACCAAAGAATGTTCCAGGGAACAGAAGGTGCTGCCTGAGTTCTGAATGTGGGAAGCACACGGACCTTCTCACGCGGTTAGGAGGAGCCCCTTGGACACCTGTGTGGTTCAGAAACGTTGCCACATAAATTGCACCTGAGGTGGAGAGGCTGTTTGCACGATGAAGTCGTGCAACTACTCTCTGGGATGCTGACCCATAGCACAGTGCTTGGCACCAATGGATGAACTAGCACAGGGACGGAAACCCCACTGGGAAACATTTGGATGCTGCCTTTTCCTCCTTGTCTGTCCAGGTCTCCGAGGTGGAGCGGGACAGCGAGGGCAGGTGCACCTTCAGTGAAGGCCCAGGCCACACAAGACTCACGGCTCTCCCTGGTCTCCCTGAAGGGCCAAATTACGTGCTTAGGAAATGCATTCTGGCACATGGAAGAAACATATTACAAGTGTGTAAATAATATTGGTTATTTTTAAACAATCCGCTTGCCTTCCTAAACTGGTAAGCTAAAAGAGAAGATTCATATTCTAGAATTATTCCTATTATGCTTCATTTGGATGCAGTTTATTGACCAAAATATTCCCCTTAAATACCAAAACAACTTGACACTGATTTTTCTGTCTGAAAGAAACACTGTTAAACCTGAAAGTAGAATCTTGGTACATAATTCTCCTGGGACCATGTATCAAATCGTAATTTCCAGGCCCTGTGATTGCAACTGTAATTTTCCATCGACAGAGCTCTCTGCCATACAACATGCTTTGATTTAATCCTCACAAAGGCTCTGGGAATTAGGTATTATTGTTGCTTTGTAGAAAAAGGAACTGCTCCCCACTGTCAATCATCCAGCCAGGAGTCTAGCTGCCCAGCCTGGCCCGGTGGCCATTGTTGGCTCGACAGAGGTGCTGTCTCTTGCCACTGCCAGCCCCATCACCATCCTGGGAAGGAGGCTCTCTAGTCAGCCCTATAAACGCACCTCCTGAATATCCATGAAAAAATCAGCAAGAAGGCATTTCTGGGAAGTTCAGCTGAGGCCCTTATTACAAGACGAGAAGGGTCCAGTTCCCTGGGGCTGTCAAGGAAGATGCTCTTCCACACTGCCGCTCGAGGCGACCCTCCTCTGGTATCCTGGGCCTCACTGAGATGCTTTTCCTATCTGCACAGATCATCACCCTGAGGGATTACATCCCCAGGATCCTGGGACCCGAGGCCTTCCAGCAGTACGTGGGTCCCTATGAAGGCTATGACTCCACCGCCAACCCCACTGTGTCCAACGTGTTCTCCACAGCCGCCTTCCGCTTCGGCCATGCCACGATCCACCCGCTGGTGAGGAGGCTGGACGCCAGCTTCCAGGAGCACCCCGACCTGCCCGGGCTGTGGCTGCACCAGGCTTTCTTCAGCCCATGGACATTACTCCGTGGAGGTGAGTGAGTGCGGTCCCTGCAGCTGGTCCCCATGAACTCTCCCTTCTTTTTTTAATTTTTTTAAATTATATTTTAAGTTCTAGGGTACATGTGCACAACGTGCAGGTTTGTTACGTAGGGTATACATGTGCCATGTTGGTTTGCTGTACCCATTAACTCGTAATTTACATTAGGTATTTCTCCTAATGCTATCCCTCCCCCTGCCCCCCACCCCACGACAGACGGGATATGATGATCCCCGCCCTGTGTCCATGTGTTCTCATTGTTCAATTCCCACCTATGAGTGAGAACATGCGGTGTTTGGTTTTCTGTCCTTGCGATAGTTTGCTCAGAATGATGGTTTCCAGCTGCATCCATGTCCCTGAAAAGGACATGAACTCATCGTTTTTTTATGGCTGCATAGTATTCCTTGGTGTATATGTGCCACATTTTCTTAATCCAGTCTAGCACTGATGGACATTTGGGTTGGTTCCAAGTCTTTGCTATTTTAAATAGTGCTGCAATAAACATACGTGTGCATGTGTCTTTATAGCAGCATGATTTATAGTCCCTTGGGTATATGCCAAGTAATTGGATCGCTGGGTCAAATGGTATTTCTAGTTCTAGATGCTTGAGGAATCGCCACACTGTCTTCCACAATGGTTGAACTACTTTACAGTCCCACCAACAGTGTAAAAGCATTCCTTTTCTCCACATCCTCTCCAGCATCTATTGTTTTCCTGACTTTTTAATGATCGCCATTCTAACTGGTGTGAGATGGTATCTCATTGTGGTTTTGATTTGCATTTCTCTGATGGCCAGTGATGATGAACATTTTTTCATGTGTCTGTTGGCTGCATAAATGTCTTCTTTGGGAAGTGTCTGTTCATATCCTTCGCCCACTTTTTGATGGGGTTGTTTGTTTTTTCCTTGTAAATTGGTTTGCATTTTTTGTAGATTCTGGATATTAGCCCTTTGTCAGATGGGTAGATTGCAAAAATTTTCTCCCATTTTGTAGGTTGCTTGTTCACTCTGATAGTGGTTTCTATTGCTGTGCAGAAACTCTTTAATTAGATCTCATTTGTCAATTTTGGCTTTTGTTGCCATTGCTTTTGGTGTTTTAGTCATGAAGTCCTTGCCCATGCCTATGTCCTGAATGGTATTGCCTAAGTTTTCTTCTAGGGTTTTTACGGTTTTAGGTCTAACATTTAAGTCTTTAATCCATCTTGAATTAATTTTTGCATAAGGATTTTCGCATCGATGTTTATCAGGTCTCACTTCTTTCTTATGACTCATCGCAGCCGTGCAGACCTTCCGTATGGGCACACTTGCTGATCCTACACAAGGTTTTTAATATCTGTGGGGAAAATAAATGTGTTTAAAGCATTTTAAAAGGCTAAACTGGGCTCAGGCACGGTGGCTTACACCTGTAATCCCAGCACTTTGGGAGGCTGAGGCAGGCGGATCACTTGAGGTCGGGAGTTTGAGACCAGCCTGGCCAACATGGTGAAACCCCATCTCTACTAAAAATACAAAATAAACAAACAAAAAACATTAGCCGTGTGTGGTGGCAGATGCCTGTAGTCAGCTACTCAGGAGGCTGTGGCAGGAGAATCGCTTGAACCTGGGAGGCAGAGGGTGCAGGTGAGCCGAGATCTCACCATTGCATTCCAGACTGGGCAACAGAGTGAAACTCCATTTGAAAATAAAATAAAATAAAATAAAAATAAAAGGCTAAACTGTTCTATAGTTATGATCAGCACCATCATCTTTAGAATGTTAATGATGGGTTACCTTTGGAAGTTAATTATTTGGAAGAAAATGATCCTATTCCCCCAATTAGTTTTTTGGAAGGGTTATTTTTAAGCTTCCCCATTTTTTCTTTATATTCCTTTCCCAGTAGTCTGTAAGTCCTTCTGGGAGCTTCTAACCTGTCTCAAAAGTTGACCGGCTCCAGGCGTAGTGGGGAGTGGGGAGGGCAGGGGTGCTGCAGTGCGTCCGGCGATACCTGCTTAGATGAGAGCTGAGTCATGCACAGTGCACCAGAGGGGCAAGGGCCAGCCTGGCCCTCAGCAGGTGCCCGGCATTTGAAGACACCCAGGTCATCCCACACAGGACGATGCATGTCGTGATTTCTAAGTCTTCCTTTTGGGCATCCTAAGGCCAAACCGATCCTTTAAAGACTCTGGTGGCATGCAGTGGTGGGTTCACACGCCACTGAGATAGACCGACCCTGACAGGCCGTGGGGCCTGCTTTCCATGCGGGGCCTTTGGAGATGACAGGAACAGTGGTCCCCAGGCACCCTGGCCACTCCCTCAGCTAAGCTGAGTCTTCCTTTCACTGTTCTGGATGTTAGAATTCAGCAAACGCTTCTTTTTTTTGTAATCTTTCTGTTGCTGAGAAATAAAACAAAAAGCTTTAAAAACTGGTGGGCTCCTTCTCCAGGCCCCTTTCTTTCTGAGGGTCCATCCCCCATGAGCCACATTGTCAGTGCCAGCCCAGTGGTTCACCTGCCAACAAGGGCAGTGTCCTGAGGACATTCAGGAAACTCTGGAATCACACAAGCTGAATTCATGAACTTACACGAAGGTTTGCTGAGGATAAGATTGAGCTATTGGGCTGGGCGCGGTGGCTCACGCCTGTAATCCCAGCACTTTGGGAGGCCGAGGCAGGCAGATCACCAGGTCAGGAGATTGAGACCATCCTGGCTAACACGGTGAAACCCCATCTCTACTAAAAATGCAAAAAGAAATTAGCCAAGCATGGTAGCGGGCGCCTGTAGTCCCAATTACTCGGGAGGCTGAGGCAGGAGCATGGCGTGAACCCGGGAGGCAGAGCTTGCAGTGAGCTGAGATCGCCACTGCACTCCAGCCTGGGCAACAGAAAGAATGAGACTCCGTCTCAAAAAAAAAAAAAATTGAGATATTGTTGTTTCTCTAGAACTGAGCCAAGAGCTGTCCTTGCCTTGTGCATGGTATTTTCCAGGTGGTTTGGACCCACTAATACGAGGCCTTCTTGCAAGACCAGCCAAACTGCAGGTGCAGGATCAGCTGATGAACGAGGAGCTGACGGAAAGGCTCTTTGTGCTGTCCAATTCCAGCACCTTGGATCTGGCGTCCATCAACCTGCAGAGGGGCCGGGACCACGGGCTGCCAGGTCTGCCAGTTCCTTCCCTTGCACACCTCATGCAGCTGCTGCGGGATTTGCCGAGCTAGCAACCTGCTGCTAGAGAGACTGATTTAGAGGAAAACAATCACAAATCTGAGGCCTTCTAAGCAACGGCTCTTAAAGGGCTCCAGTTCATTCAGCTAAAGTGGCCACTTCCAGCTTTTCTTAGAGATAGAAATGGCACGAAGAGGGTGGTTCTGAACCTCCCAGGAACGTATGAGCTGGGACCTTGAGAAACAGCCGCTTCTAGTAGAGGGAGGAGGGAGTGCGCGGGCAGACAATGGCAGGTCTGTATCTGGTATCCCGGGAAGCTCCTGGGATGGCTAGAGTGCCCCCCTCCCCTTCTCCTCCCCACCACAAGGTCCCAGAGCCTGCAAAGATCATTCCGTCACATCAGGACTGCTGTTAACTAACTGGTCCAAGCTGGCCCCTGGCAGGAGTGGCTGCTCCTCTCAGGCCAGCAGCCCCCTGTGCTCCCCACACCCCACCCGGCTCCTGCCTTTCCCAGGCCCCACCCGGCAGCCTCCTCCCTGACCTGCCCAGTTTCCAACTCCCTGACCTCAGGCCCACCTCAGCCTTCCCTCCTCTGGGCTCCTAGGTGGTTCGGTTGTCTGGTCAACCTGCAGCACCTGTCTAGGCCCGATCCCCTGACACCTCCTATTCTGTGTGCAGCTCTGTTCTCTCCACGTACCCTGGGAGCTTGGGAGGTGCCCTCCTGTTGTGTGTGGGTGACATGTGAGATGGACAGTGCTGGCAAGTCCTGCCCTGCCCCGTCCCTGGGCCTTCCTCTGTCCCCTGGCCCTTCCCCCATCCCTGTCTTCCTCACCAGTGGCATCTGGAAGGGCTGGGATCAGCAGCCACACAGGCTGTGAATATCTGGGGACTAAATGTGAGTTGGGAGGATGCAGAAGGGGCCCCTATGTGTGTCAGGATAACGCACACTGTCCCCCTCACTCCCTGCACCCAAACACAGCTGCTTTCTTGTTGCCAGAGCTCAGGGAGCACAGCCTACACATGCCTTCACATGCCCGGCACATACCCAGCACACACCCGCACATGCCCGGCACATGCCCAGCACATACCTGCACATGCCTGCACACACCTACACATGACCAGCACATGCCCACACATGACCAGCACATGCCCAGCACATACCCAGCACACACCTGCACACGCCTGCACATACCCATCACATGCCCAGCACATGCCCAGCACACGCCTGCACATGCCCAGCACATGCCTAGCACATACCCAGCACACACCCACACATGCCCAGCACACACCCACACATGCCCAGCACACACCCACACATGCCCAGCACACACCTTGCCTCTGGCTGGGACCCCCTTTGCTGCTGGCCCTGCTCAGGCCCCACAGCTTGATCTCCTCATGTTCCCACTGCTGACTTCCCCAAGCTAACTGTGCCACAGAGTGGGGGACCCCCTCCCGGCTCTCACAACCCCCACCTTCCTCTGCTTCACTTTTCACCAACTGAAATATGGCCAAAGGCAAAAACCCATGTTCCCACTGGCCTGTGGGTCCCCCCATAGATCGTAAGCCCAGGAGGAAGGGCTGTGTTTCAGGGCTGTGATCACTAGCACCCAGAACCGTCGACTGGCACAGAACAGGCACTTAGGGAACCCTCACTGAATGAATGAATGAATGAATGAATGAATGAATGTTTGGGCAAATAAACGCTGACAAGGACAGAAGGGCCTAGCGGGAAGGGAACAGGAGTAAGACCAGCGCACAGCCCGACTTGTGTTCAGAAGACCTGGGATTGGACCTGAGGAGTTCAATTTTGGATGAATCTCTTAATTAACCTGTGGGGTTCCCAGTTCCTCCCCTGAGCGCCCAGGACAGTAGAGTCAACCTCACGTTTGAGCGTTGGGGACGCAAACACGAGAGTGCTTGGTGTGAGCACACAGGAGGAGTCACGACAGAGCAGTGTAAGAGCCGCCACGTGGGTCCCACACAGGGGGAGTCACGACACAGCAGTGTAAGAGCCGCCACGAGGGTCCCACACAGGGGGAGTCGCGACACAGCAGTGTAAGAGCCGCCACGAGGGTCCCACACAGGGGGAGTCACGACACAGCAGTGTAAGAGCCGCCACGAGGGTCCCACACAGGGGGAGTCACGACACAGCAGTGTAAGAGCCGCCACGTGGGTCCCACACAGGGGGAGTCACGACACAGCAGTGTAAGAGCCGCCACGAGGGTCCCACACAGGGGGAGTCACGACACAGCAGTGTAAGAGCTGCCACGTGGGTCCCACACAGGGGGAGTCACGACACAGCAGTGTAAGAGCCGCCACGAGGGTCCCACACAGGGGGAGTCACGACACAGCAGTGTAAGAGCCGCCACGTGGGTCCCACACAGGGGGAGTCACGACACAGCAGTGTAAGAGCCGCCACGAGGGTCCCACACAGGGGGAGTCACGACACAGCAGTGTAAGAGCCGCCACGAGGGTCCCACACAGGGGGAGTCACGACACAGCAGTGTAAGAGCTGCCACACATGGGTCCCTGCGGCCTGCAGTTCGAAGCCCACTGCATGTGTTAGCACTCTATACCCCAGCCACCGTAGAAGGCCGGACTGCGATCACTTTCTAAAAGATGGATCGAGAGACTGAAGCACAGACAGTTTAGGCAACTTCCCCAGGTCTGAATTCCAGCAACTGGAGGCATCGATGCACCAGAAAGGCCACAAACCTGGCAGAGGCTTCATTAGATCTGATCAGTTCGATCTGAGGATAAATCAGATAAAAGAGAAACGCTCATGTCTCAGCAAGCTGAGCTGTGATGATGATTTCCACTACGCCCTGAAATCTTTTGTTGTACTTTACGGGGAATATAAAATGTACAACCTTCCCCAAAACACTTTTTTGCTGCTGGGCACAGTGGCTCACGCCTGTAATCCCTGCACTTTGGGAGGCCGAGGCGGGCAGATCACGAGTTCAGGAGTTCAAGACCAGCCTGGCCAGATGGTGAAACCCTGTCTCTACTAAAAATATAAAAAATCAGCTGGGCGTGGTGGCAGACACCTGTAATCCCAGCTACTTGAGAGGCTGAGGCAGGAGAATTGCTTGAACCCAGGAGGCAGAAGTTGCAGTGAGCTGAGATCATGCCTCTGCACTCCAGCCTGGGTGACAGAGCGAGACTCAGTCAAAAAAAAAACCAAAAAAACACTTTTTTTTGCATTCCCGTTTCTGCAGTGTCTCCCACAGGCAGGGACATCTAAAGTGATGTTCTTTCTTCCCAGCTCTGCGGCCTCTGAAGCTGTGATGAGCTTCAGCCTCCATGTCTTTACCTCCTGCACAGGCCTTGCATATTTTCCCTCTAGAGTTGGAAAAAGATGCAAATGTGTTTCCTCTTAGAGCAATAAGAAAGGAAATTACCCTTCTAACTTCGTTGTTTTTTCTTTTTGAAATTAAGATTTCCATCTCTCACAGGTATTAGAAATGTTTTAATTATTTTGGACTACTTAAAACAGTTTGACAATGGTCTAAATTGACTATACAGAAACTTTCTCTCCTCATTTGAGAACTTTAATTTGCTCATTATTTTGGTTTCTCACTAGTCTGAAAATAACTGCATTCTTTTAGTAAATATTTAATGAAATAACTGCTGTGTCCCCCAAGCCCTGTGGCAAGCAATGGGCGTCTGTTTTCTATATAAACCAAGTGTCTACAGGTTACCTATTCCTGGAGCTGAGAAATTTGTGGGGTATGTTTGGGATGGTCTAGGCTACAGTAGATTGGGTGATAAAGATGAAATTTTGTTGGAGGTGCTGAGATGGAGAGACACAGAGCCTCTTGACGGGGCAAAGCACTTCCCGGTGGCTTTGATGAGAGGGCTGGGATGGCCCATCTGGAGACAGAAAACGAGAGTGGTTTCTGCAGATCACAGGGCGGCAGAGCCCACTGTGGACAGCAGGAGTCAGGCTGAGGCAGCGCAGCTTCTCACGGGGGCTCGGGGGAACCCTTGCCAGATGTGGAAGCACCAGGGCTACGGGGCCAGCCAAGGCAGGTGACTCTAGGAGCACAAGAGTCAGACACACACTTGTTCCTCCTGAGGGTGAACCAGGGAGCCACCTGCTAAGAAATGGACTCAATGGCACCTGACAGCAGTTTTCTAAAAGCTCAGGATTTTTTTTGTTTTTTGTTTTTTTGAGACGAAGTCTCACTCTTGTCACCCAGGCTGGAGAGCAATGGGGTGATCTCGGCTCACGGCAACCTCCGTCTCCCAGGTTCAAGCAATTCTCCTGCCCCAGCCTCCCGAGTAGCTGGGATAACAGGCACCCGCCATCACGCCCAGCTAATTTTTGTATTTTTAGTAGAGATGGAGTTTCACCATGTTGGCCAGGCTGGTCTTAAACTCCTGACCTCAGGCAATCCGCCCGCCTCGGCCTCCAAAAGTGCTGGGATTACAGGCATGAGCCACCGCACCTGGCCTCTAGAAGCGCAGATTTTGAATCTCACTCATGCCTTCCTCTTTCACTTTGTCCATTCTTCCAATCCCTCTTCTTCCAAGTTGTTCCCACCCCTTTGCTCCATGAGTCTGTTTACCACATGGGCATCCCCTTCCCAGACCAACTGGAGGATGCCTGGCTATTTCTCCCAGTTCTGTTTGGTCTAAACATGAGACACCAAGAGGCCCAACCTTCTGTCCCATGAAAGCCTCACTGTCCCTGGGGGGAACCAGCCCAGTGCTCACATGTTGCTGTGCGTGTGCTTGTCCAGGACTTCTGCTGGGAGCCTGTGGTGGGCAGGGCGCTGAGAGTAGAACCAGACAGTCTTAGCTAAAGCACCACACAGGGCGGGTGGATGAGTAGAGACAGTAGCAGAGGCCCTGGGCGGCGCTCTGATCAGAACCCGTGGGAGTGAGGGTCGCCCATCCTTGAGGAGGGAGCACTTCTGGAGGAGGTGACAGCTGAACCAAGAGGAGTGGATGAGGGACGAAGGCAGATGTGAGGAGTGGGGCACAGGGAGGGGCACGAGTGTCAGGCAAAGGCGCAGCCACAGAGTCAGACCATGGACGGGGGCCTGGGCAGGGAGCAGCTGAGGCGTGGGTCAGTGAGCAGGAGGAGGAGTGAGAAGAGAGGCCAGGGATTCACCAGGGCTCCCAGGAAGAAAAGATCTCCAGTCTTCAATATGGAGATGAGTGGCCAGACAGATAAAGATATTTGTGTGTGTGTGTGTGAGTGGGTGGGGGGGGGGGTGCTGGCTTCTGTGTGTGCTCCTGATGTCATTGTGGGAGGCAAACTCTGAAGAGGATGCAGAGCTGTGTCAGTTGCCCTGTAGAGGCAAGAACTAAGTGCAGGCTGGGCAATAACAGGAATGCACTTAGATGTCACGGACTCAGCATTCTTGCTGTCTCCAGCTCCTTTATGAACAAACCTGCAAAAAGAGCTCTGGCGTCCGAGCTGGAACATTCTAGCCTGGCAAACTGCCGGGCAGTGTCACAGGGTGGGACAGGACTCTGCCCGGCATCTGAGCTGGAATATCCTAGCCTGGCAAACTGCTGGGCAGTGTCACAGGGTGGGACAGGACTCTGCCCGGCATCCGAGCTGGAATATCCTAGCCTGGCAAACTGCCGGGCAGTGTCACAGGGTGGGACAGGACTCTGCCGGGCGTCGGAGCTGGAATATCCTAGCCTGGCAAACTGCCAGGCAGTGTCACAGGGTGGGACAGGACTCTGCCCTGCTGCGCTTCCAGTCTCGGGGACCATGGCATGAGTGAGATGGGCTGAACAAAAGTTCAGTTCTGTGAGAGAAACCCTGCAGCCTCTCCCCTGTGCAGGTTACAATGAGTGGAGGGAGTTCTGCGGCCTGCCTCGCCTGGAGACCCCCGCTGACCTGAGCACAGCCATCGCCAGCAGGAGCGTGGCCGACAAGATCCTGGACTTGTACAAGCATCCTGACAACATCGATGTCTGGCTGGGAGGCTTAGCTGAAAACTTCCTCCCCAGGGCTCGGACAGGGCCCCTGTTTGCCTGTCTCATTGGGAAGCAGATGAAGGCTCTGCGGGACGGTGACTGGTACGTTCCTATCCAGAGCGTCTTCCTTCACGTTCTGCACAGAGGCAGGTGGTCTGCGTTGGTTCTGAAGCCAGCCAGACCTGCATTCACATTCCGGCTCCACCATTCAACTCTTACGTAAGCCTGGTCAGGTTGTTTCTCCCACCCACAGCTTCTTTAACCTAGAACAGTGTTTTTATAACAATGAAGCAACTACGAAGCACGTAGCACTTAGAATGGGAGCTAGCACTGATTTTTCCTAGATCCAACCACACGAGCAAGCAGGCACCTAACTAAACAAATTGTGACACAATCGTGACAGCCCGGAGACTGCATCCCATCCCTCACGTCCCATGACAATGCCCGGGAAAGCGCAGAGGTGGACAGTGACTCAGGCGCAGACACAGGCCATGCCCGGTGCTCATGGATGCCTCTAGGCTGGACAGGACTTCCCGGCCCCCCAGACCCCACCTACAGATAGCAGATGGTTGCCGGTAGCAGAAAGCTGAGGTCCCGCTTTGCCTGCCTCATGCATGTCTGCTCCCTCCTCAAGTTCAACCTAGAATTTGGAGGTTTGTACTGGAGGGAGTCAGAGGCAGATCCTGTTCCCATCTGACTCTGAGTGCATGCCCCCCGTAGAAGCAGGTGCGCAGGATACCAGTGTTAGGATTTTGGAACAACACAGACAAAAGCAATAGGAAAATGTTTTCTTTTGCTTTTAAATACATCCCTACCTATCCAATTCTCTCTCTATTTTTGGTAGTCACTGTGCCGAGGTCAGATTTTTGTTGTAAAGGATCTGTGTTCTTCCCAGAGAGTGCACCTGCCACACGCTGGGGCTCCTGTCCTTTCCCCAGTGTGACTTTTATCTCTAATTTCTGAGATGCAGCCTTTCAAAGAGCTACGAACACCTGGGTAGAAATCACCAGGAGAACTTGTCTCCCTTATAGCTGTGTCTTCAGCAAACGTGCGGTTTGGAATTCTCTGGGACATGGGAAGCCACTCGCTCAGAAGGGGGAAGATTTCACCAGCTTGCCCCATACGTGTGTCTCCCATGCGTGTTTTATGCCACCTGTGGCTGAAGCGCCATCTGAAATCAGTGCAGAGGCAGCTGGCAGGTTCCTAGGGTGGTGCCCCCAATTTCTCATCCTATGTATTTATGACCACATATCTCCCCAATGCAAAAATGGGATCAATTAACTTACGTATAGTGGGGCCTCTTTTTCATGTTCTAAGAGGAATTCATCCCTGTGATGGGAAGCAGAAGAGTTTTACGTGGCAGGGGAGATGCACATGGGAGATGCATGCTTTACGGCATTCAGGCCAGGAGCTATTGGGGCTTTGGCAACTATTTTCATATTTTGAGAGGAAAGTGGGACTTCATTTCTTCACATTGCAATTTTTCTGATTAATCATGGCCTGGAGGAAGAAGCTGAAGGTAGAGAGACTGTGCAGGGCACGTTGACTTCAGAATAGGAGCACCCTCTAAAATAGCTGGATTTGCTGTCATCATTCTTGTTTTTAACACAGCAATACACCCCAGATAACAGCAATGCAGCAAAATAGATGCTCATAGTCAACAAGCAAAGTGGCTCTGAGCCCCTCTTCTGAGGCCGCTCGTTCAGACAGCCAGGTGCACGCTGTGCTGCCCCTCCACATCTCCTTCGGGTCCTCAGTACCTGCACCTGAGTGGTCCCGGGTGCTCAGGGGTCTGGGCAGACGCCACAGGGTCTCCTTCAGGTCCTCAGTGCCTGCACCTGAGTGGTCCCGGGTGCTGGGGGTCTGGGCAGACGCCACAGGGTCTCCTTCAGGTCCTCAGCGCCTGCACCTGTGTGGCCCCGGGTGCTGGGGGTCTGGGCAGACGCCGCAGGAGAGGCTGGCAGCACACAGCTGTGGGCAGCTGGTCTTGAGTGCCTGCCCTGGGGGTTCTCCATGCACTGTGACCTTACTCACTGTCTCCTTCTCTGGAGGTTTTGGTGGGAGAACAGCCACGTCTTCACGGATGCACAGAGGCGTGAGCTGGAGAAGCACTCCCTGTCTCGGGTCATCTGTGACAACACTGGCCTCACCAGGGTGCCCATGGATGCCTTCCAAGTCGGCAAATTCCCCGAAGACTTTGAGTCTTGTGACAGCATCACTGGCATGAACCTGGAGGCCTGGAGGGAAACCTTTCCTCAAGGTGAAGTTCGGTCTCCTCTCACACCACGTTACAGCACGTGCATCTCATCAAACAAAGCTTATCTTCCCCAGGAGCTGATTTTAACTTTTCACTGTTTAGAAAATAGTGTCAACGCCCTGCCTTACACCCTCAGGGCAGCTCCTGGGGCGGGGCGGGGCGGGGCGGGGCCCTTCTCTAGTGAGAAAGGAACTGGAGGCCTAGAGAAAGGGAGCCCGCGGGGCCCGATCTGGGAAGAGGCCGTGTGTGCTGCGTGGGTGCTCAGTGAGTGACCACAGCAGGGCTCCCCGGCCCTGGCACCAGCCCCTCCAGGGCACAAGCGCACCCGTGACAGGGACGTTGGTGTGTGGTTTTCTTTTCTCGTAGTTTGACTACATGTCAACCTGTCCACATTTCATAGACGACAAGTGTGGCTTCCCAGAGAGCGTGGAGAATGGGGACTTTGTGCACTGTGAGGAGTCTGGGAGGCGCGTGCTGGTGTATTCCTGCCGGCACGGGTATGAGCTCCAAGGCCGGGAGCAGCTCACTTGCACCCAGGAAGGATGGGATTTCCAGCCTCCCCTCTGCAAAGGTCAGTCCTTTCTTCAATGACAATTACAAAACATCTGAATGTTTCCGATATAAGTTAACAATGCAATGTCATTGAAAATTTCTTCGCCAAAAGGTGCTTCTGAAACTGTTATCTTCCCAGGAGCAATCTGGGGATAGAAAGCAAGGGCTCTCCCCTTGGCTGGCCATGTTCCCAGCTGGCCTTTTTCTAGGTAGTGAGGCCTCAGGACAGGCACGTGGAATCGTGACCAATGGGGTCACCGGTGAGGGAAGAGAGAGGGGAGTCCGTGAGTTCCAGGCAAAGTTGTGGTGAACTCGCAGGGGCGCTTTCTCAAAGGGAACACAGCAGCAAACGTCTCCACTCCAGGAACCCATAGAGTAAGGCTCGCCTCCACCTCCACCTCCTACAGGTGGCTGATTCCCAAGCCCATGCCTGGTCCTCCTCCAGCCACTGGGTTCCACTCCCAGCCTCCCGCATGTTTAGGTGTGGACAAGTGTGGCTTCCTGGCGGTAATTTGAGAGCAGGATGGGGAGGCACCTTTCAGGCCGCAAGGCAAGACAGCCGTGGGCCACTTCCACCTGCTCCTCCCATGTGCTGGCTTGAGCGGGTGTCAGCCCAGGGCACCTGGGAGCAGGTGTGCTGGACAACAGAGCCTCCCGGGGGGAGAGCCGTGTACTGGGGTTCCTCTGCGGGGAACAGCAGAATGAGAGTCCCCATCTGACTGTTCTGAGGCAGAGCCCTCTGGGTGCGACTCCTGAGGCTGGGGCTTCCTGTCAGAGCAGCTTGCGTCCTCCAACTACTTCAGAACTGCCCTGCCACAAAACCTGGACCGCTGGTTCTGGTCTCATGGGACAGTGGCGTCAGGGCAGGCAGGAGCAGGAATGGCTGCTGTTCTGGGAGGAAGGCTGCTCAGATGACACTCACCAGCAATCTTTAGAAGGCCAACCAGCTGCCTTCAGGGACTGCATTTTAGGAGAGGAAAGTTGGCATCAGACTCACAGTCTCCTGTGAGCTACGTGCTATGAGCTGCACTTACCTAGACCGCAGAAGAAAGAGATGGTCTCGTGCAAGAATCTGGCTGGTTTGCAAGCAGAAATACAAGCAAAGTCCACAGTTTTCAGTTTTCTCAGAGTTTTCAGAAGATGAAAGAGTCCTGGAGCCAGTGCTTTGGGAGACCCAGGTGAGAGAATCCTCTGAGGCCAGGAGTTCAAGACCAGCCTGAGAAAAATAGTGAAACCCCATCTACCAAAAAAAAAAAAAAAAAAAAAGTGGCTGGGAGGGGGATGGTGTGATAAGTTGCACAAGGTCAGTGTGCTCAATGCCAGTGAACTGTACATTTAAAAATGGCAGAGGTGGTAAAGTTTACATTATGTATAATTCAGCACAATAACAAAATTTCCATTTCAATTTTGAAAGTCCAAAATGTTTCTCCTTGAAGGGTTGCAGTGGTCAACTGCTTCCAGACCCTCAGTCATAAAGGGAGAGGCTGAGACCCTGTGTGCACCAGAGACCCACCAGGACTCAGTGCTGTGGCAGGGGTCAGGTAGGGGTGCGGCTCCCGCCAAGTCTGTGGTCTCAGGTGCCCTCCCGGGAGCCACCTTCCCATTAGAAGAGGAGAGAAGGGATGAGGAGAGGAAGAAACAAAGCTGGCCTGGGGAACGGTGCCTCGGAAATAACTTTCAAACTCACTAACGGCACAAGGAGCTGCCTGGGCATGGATAGGGCAGAGGCCTGCTACATAGGTGAGGGGGTGTCATCACTGGAAACCAGCAGCCTGGGCTGGAAACCCTCTGTTTAAACTGTTAATTGCACAATGCCAGATTTGCAGACGTGCTCCCCTGCTGCATTTTGGGATTGGTCATGAATGACAGTGTACAAGGAGATCACCCAGAGATTACAGTGCCCCAGAGAACAGCAGACCAGGATGTTTCTCCCAGAGAACTTTCCAGAAGCCTCGGTGATAGAAACACAACTACTCTGTCGGGTGATGACATCTGTGTAAACTCGTGGTTGCTGTTAACACTATTGCATGACTCCTGACCATAGGCTCTGCCACTGACACTTCAGTGACAAAAGGGTCACGAATCGCAAGGTTTTCCTGTTCCCTTGGCTTAGAGACTGCACAAACTTGAAACGGCCACTTCACTCACGATTCCTGGTTTTCCGTGTTGGCATTACAGTTAAGGAATTGATGGCAGGTGCTTCAGGGTATAGCATGTTGCGTGTTCTACGTTAACAAGCCTTCCTATGGTGCACTTCACTGTACACCTGCGTCTCTCCTTGCCCAAATACCCAGACGTTTCACGTGTCCATTTTAGCTTCATTTTAAGTATGAATGACCCCAAAGTGCTACTCACAGGCATCTTCAAGGTGCAAATAAAAGATGGGTGAGACCTTAGAGTGGATCAGGAAGGGAGACTGCTGGAGTCCTACAACCTGCCTGTGTGGAGCTGCCCCCTGTGCGCGTGCCCTCTGACCTTCCGCCTGCCCTCTGACCTTCCACCTGCCCTCTGACCTTCCGCCTGGGACGTTGCTCATCTGTCTCCTAAGTGAGGAATGCTCCTTCAGCCTCCTGTAGACCATCCTATGCCATCAAAATCACTCTTCTGTTCTTGAAATTTTTTCATTTATCTTCCTTGATTTTTAGTCCAACAATTAACAGCTGTCTGAAGTTAAGATCCATTGTAAGAAGGACTATTTCTGAACCAGTCTGGGTGCTCCCCAGGGTGCAGGGGCCTGTCTCGGCATGGTGCGTGCACAGCAGCCAGTGCTCCTGGTGGGCTCCCTGGCTGCAGCAACATCACCAAGGAGCTTATCACACCTGCGGCGTCTGGGGCCACCACAATCCCTGAGTCAGGGCTGCAGCAACAACATCACCAAGGAGCTTATTACACCTGTGGTGTCTGGGGCACCACAATCCCTGCGTCAGAATCCACACTCTTCACAAGACCCCATGAGACTGTGTATATGAAGGTCTGAGACACCCATCGGCCAACCCTAACTCATCCTGTCTTCTCTCTCTAGTTCACTAACTTGGGCCCAACTTCATGTTCTCCTGCCACAGACATTTCCGTAGCCATTTAATCTGTCTCCCAAATTGCTGAGCCTCTGTGTGCCTCCACGGTTTCAAATGTGAAATGAGGACAGGAATAAGGCATTGATTTAAATTAGTTATAAATGCACAGTACAAAGAGCGGGGTGCAGGCCTGTTGATATTAACACTGTGAGTGCTCAGGAGCCGTGTTCTGAATGCTGGGACAGCCACACCCAGAACAATTACACTACACAGTTAGCAGGGCGTCTGTTGACTTGGAAGAGTGTTGGTGACATGTCACTCAATAAGCATGTAAGCTACACAGCAATGTGTACATTGGGAATCTGTTCGGGTTTTTTTTAAAGCAGTGGGCCACAGGCACACACATCACTTTGATGAGTGTCCTCCCGAATGTGAGGGGAGCGCTAGGCTCTGCTCCAGAACCTGTTAATACTGGAGACCTCGGCAGCCTGAGATGGGGACAGGTAGGAGAGATTGCTAACCTTCATCAATACAACTCTTTTTTTTGTTTGTTTTATCATATCTGTAATTAAAATATATCTTAGAGATAAATGACAAAACTCCAAAATCTGGTACAAATGCGTGTGCACAGATATTTTTACTACAGCTGTTCCCTGCACTAGAAGTTTCAAAATCGAGAATCACAAGGGAAAAAACTCAAGTATAACAGACAGGAAACTTTACGTTTATGGTAAATTGATAAGAATATAAGCACTCAAGGAGATCCTCAGTGAAACCTCATCAACACATCTGCGGCTACAGAAAGGAAGGCTACGGGCTTAACTGAATATTTGATACAGAAAAACAAATAGTATTCGCTGCTCTCTTCTCTATTCAAATTCTACTTATTCACTCAAACTCATTCACATAAAAACTTGATATTAAGGCCGGGCGTGGTGGTTTATGCCTGTAATCCCAGCACTTTGGGAGGCCGAGGCAGGTGGATCATGAAGTCAGGAGTTCAACACCAGCCTGGCCAAGATGGTGAAACCCCGTCTCTACTAAAAATACAAAGAAGAAAAATTAGCCGGGCATGGTGGTAGGCGCCTGTAATCCCAGCTACCCAGGAGGCTGAGGCAAGAGAATTGCTTGAACCCGGGAGATGGAGGTTTCAGTGAGCCGAGATTGCACCACTGCACTCCAGCCTGGGCAACAGAGTGAGACTCCCTCTCAAAAAAAAAAAAAAAAACTGGCAAATGCATTGCAGTGAGTCTCCTCTGAGTGCCTGGATGCTGCAAATTTCAAATAGATAAAAAGCTGTGAGTCAGTGGCTTTTTCCATGAGTTATTGTCAGGAGGTTATGCAGTAAACGAATATACATAAATGCTTTGTGCATATTATGGAAAATACAGTTCGCAACCAGTACTAATTTACTTAGAGAAATGGAAACATCTGTGCACTCACTGCATGTGGAGACTGGACACCACAGCCATCTGCGCACTCACTGCGCGTGGAGATGTGTGGACACCACGGCCACTCTTCTTGAAACTCAAGGCGAAGCAGTCGGAGAGCAGAGCCTCGGCCTCCATGCAGGTCACCCTGGTATCTGGGGACACTGCGGCTGAGGCTGGTTTCCTCCTCTGTCGGGAGCGCTGCTCTTCAGACAAGGCCGATTTGTCCCCCTCCTTCCTGTCCATCCTGGGAAGGAGACCTACACAGCGCTGGCCCCTGACTCGGCCTTCTGCTTAGAAGAAACTGACCGTGGGTGGAGCGTTGTGGGCCAAACTGTGCCCCCAAAAAGCTATGCTCAAGTTCTAGCCCCGTGTACCTCTGCATGTGGCCTGATGAAGAAGCAAGGCCTTTGCAGGTGCCGTCGAGTTAAAGTGAGGCTGTCGGGTGCATCCTGCTCCAATGTGCAGTGCCCTCATAGGAAGCAGAGACAAGACACAGACGGGACCCTGTGAAGACCCAGGATGGAAATAAAGCTTCTGCCAGGCATGGGCCCCCCAGGACCCACCAGGAGCCAGGGCATGCAGGAAGGACGCCCCCCGACTCCCGAGAGCCTGCTGAAGGAGCACCACCCGGCCGACACCCTGATTTCAGACCTGTGACCTCTAGAACTCTTGGAGGATGCATTTCTGTTGCTTGGAGCCATCCACTTTGTGATGATTTTTCCCAGCAGCCACAGGGAACTCATAAGGATGAGTCTGAACTGCAGGGATGGGGTGAGGAGAGGGGGCAGAAGCTGCTCCAAGGGAACTCCCCGAGAGGGATGCAGGGATGTGTTGGCAGCTGCCATTCCCATTCTGAGGACCCCATTGCACATCCCAGGGGATGGAGAGAAAATGGGCTTGTAGCGTTCATGGGTGATGACTTTGATTTTTCACACGATCATGATGGAAACACTCCCTACCCCAGAGGCGGCTGCAGATGCCTTCACACAGCTCTGGTGCTCCACAGCTCTGCATAACGGGATGCAGGAGGGGCTGGTTCCAGGGGCAGCTTTAGCCAAGAAAGACCTTCTAGGTTTAACAGCCTTGACATGGTTACCTGTACATGAAACACTTTAATAGCTGCTGCTAGATAGAGACAATTAACAGCCGATAGTCAATAGCTCCAATCCCTTGAAATTTCTTGACCCTTTTCTTATACTTCTTTTTATTTTTTTGAGACAGAGTCTCACTCTGTCACCCAGGCTGGAGTGCAGTGCCGCAATCTCTGCTCACTGCAACCTCCGCTTCCTGAGCTCAAGTGATTCTCCTGCCTCAGCCTCCTGAGTAGCTGGGATTACAGGCACCCACCACTGCACCCAGCTCATTTTTGTATTTTTAGTGGAGATGGGATTTCACCATGTTGGCCAGGCTGGGCTCAAACTCCTGACCTCAGGTGATCTACCCACCTCAGCCTCCCAAAGTGCTGGGATTACAGGCATGAGCCACCGGACCCGACTTCTTATACTCTTATAGAATGGTTGTCATTATCAATAATGGCATTATTAAAGACCGTACTGTTTAGAAAGCCTGAGATATCCCTGACACCCTGCTAGTTGTCATAAGCATCGTCTTTGATTCCACGCCCATTTTTCACAGCTGACATAATGATACCCATTCTGTAACTGAGAAAACCAGCATGGGCCAAGCCTCCCCCGGGGTTAGGAGTGGGCAGTCCCATCCAATGCAGCCCCTCACCCTGGGGAGCAGGTGGCCAGCCGACCACCCCAGCTGGCCTTCGAGGCCTCACGGGTCTCCGGCACTGGGTCGCCTGAGCACTGCCCAGGTTCGCACATTCTCATCGTCCTGGGGTGGCCGAGTCGGGGACCAAGACCCTGTGGCCTATGTGGACCCCGGCTCCTCCACTCAGCGGTGAGACTGGGGAGGGTCCCTCCACCTCTCCCAGTGCTTTTGCTCTGTCTAGGGATGTCGTCAGCACCAGGGCCCCAGGAGTGCAGGGAGGTTGCTGCCTCCAGCCTGGCCCTCGGCGGAGGCTGCACCCAGGCCAGCTCTGTTCCCTCCAGACAGAGCAGCTCCTGGAAGAGCTCGTGTTCCCCACACTGACAGCACCTGCTCCATTTAGAGAATGCGCACTGGGCATGTAGAGAAGACCTGTGACACGCTACAGCTTCTTTTCTAAAACTGGCCAGAAAAGGAACATTATTTGAACAAAATGTACAGCAGGTTATCTGGAAACATACGCCTAGGGGATGAGATACTAGGTTGTAGGATTCTTGTGCAGGGGGAGCAGGAGCAGGAGGGGACCCCACATCCTCACTGGCGGTGGCAGGTGGCCCCAGTCCTTGCTCTCAGAGGACCTGCCGGCCAGCTGGGAGCATCTGCCTGGGCGAAGCAGACCCTGCCCCACCCTCACCCTGGCCCCTTCCTGCCCCCGTGTCCTGCACTTGGCCAAATTCCACATTCCCAGGCAGACCCTGATTTCCTCCAGGAAGTCTCCTGTGACTCGGGCCTGAGTGAGCCCCAGTGTGTGGACTCCCTGCAGGCTCAGAGCCCGTGGCCAGCGCACATCTGTCTGCTCCTCATCACCTTTTCGGATGTGCCGGGAGCAGGGGGCGGCCGGTTCCCCCTAGACCAGGTGGGATGGCAGGCAAAGGGCTGACCTCCCCAGAGAGAAGCACCTCCCAGAACGGGGGTCGCTCGCGGGAGATGGGGGTGCAGCCGCTTCCTCTCACGTGTGTGGCCTTGTGTGTCTGGCAGATGTGAACGAGTGTGCAGACGGTGCCCACCCCCCCTGCCACGCCTCTGCGAGGTGCAGAAACACCAAAGGCGGCTTCCAGTGTCTCTGCGCGGACCCCTACGAGTTAGGAGACGATGGGAGAACCTGCGTAGGTGAGGCTGTTCCCCTCTCTCTCTGTCCGTCCATTTGCGAGTTTTTGTAAAATGAAGAAAAGTGTGTTCAAGTTAGGCAACTGTCAATCACCATCTTGATTGGGAAGGGCGGAGATGAATAAGACACCAAGCCCACGGTGCCCGAGGGGCGTCTGCGCTGTGCTGGGGGCAGAGGATGCACTTCGTGTGCCTGCTGTCTGCAGAGACCCTCGAAGCACACTGAGGCTGGGGACGGCAGCCAGAATGCATTGCCAGACAAGGCCCACAGGTGTATACCCAGCCTAGATCACACCCCAGACAAAAAACCTATGAAACAGGCAGGATTCATTACAGACCCATCCATCACCTCTCCTCCTCCTGGGACCCCTCCAAATGCACCCGACTGCACCCTGACCAGGGCCAGCAGCACAGCTGCCTGCCTGTTCTCCCACCTCCACCTCCGGATGTCCCCGCCCGGCATGGGGCCTGGGTGCTCAACATCTGCCTCGGATGGCCTTGTCCAGTCCCCCAGCTCTGCACTCAGCTCAGGGACAGCGTCTTCCTCACCGCTGCCTCCAAGCCAGGTGCCAGCTACGCCCAAACTTTTGACGAATTTACTCCCCTGAAAATTGTGGCTCTTAGGTAAGCACTATCTTTAATCTTCATTTTATAGAAGAGGATACTAGTGATAAGAGAGGGCGAGAGACGCTCCTGGTCACACAGCCACTCCGTAGCTGGCCGGGAATTTGTGTTAATAGTCTGGCTTCCAGCTCTTATAGAAAAATAATTATTTACCAGACTCAAGTTACAGACAGACTTCCTTTGAGCTACTGTCATAGGGGAGAGAGGTCTCCAGAAAGAACCAAGTGCAAGGCTCAAATGCAGCAAAGGTAGCTGGGACGTCCAGCCAGGGCGGAGAGGGGTCAGTGCAAAACGCTTCATGACTCAACTGCATTGAGGAGCTTCTGCTAAACTGGAATAATAGGATTCTTGCTGAAACTCAGCTCCTCAGCGAAGGGCACAAGGGCCAGGGTCAAGGCCAGTTATCAAGCAAGTGAGTCTGAAAAGAGATGGCCAGGACGCGGCTGCCCGGGGCCTTCAGAGGCTGGGGAGGCTCTTTCTGGGGCTCTCAAGCTACATCCGCTTGACTGGCACGTCCCCCACTCCTGTGTCAGGCATACACCCCCTTCCTGTGTCAGGCGCACCCCCTCCTGTGTCAGGCGCACCCCACTATCCTATATCAGGCACATCCCACTCTCCTGAGTCAGGCACACCCCACCAGCTTGTGTCAGGCACACACCCCCACCCCCGTGTCAGGCACACCCCACCAGCCTGTGTCAGGCACACTGCCCCATCCTGTGTCACGCACACCCTCCCACCCCCATGTCAGGTGCACCCCTCTTCCTGTGTCAGGCGCATCCCCCCCACCCCGTGTCAGGCACACCCCCACCACCATCCTGTGTCAAGCACAACCCCCCTCCTGTGTCAGGTACAGCCCCCAACCCCCATGTCAGGCACACCCCCACTCCTTTTGTTGTTGTTGTTGTTTGTTTTTATTTCTTCTAAAAAAAAAGTGATAAATGATGTGAAGAACATGCAGGTTTGTTACATAGGTATACGTGTGCCATGGTGGTTTGCTGCACCTATTGACCCATCCTCTAAGTTCCTCCCCTCATCCTCCACCCCTCAACAGGCCCCAGTGTGTGCTGTTCTCCTTTCTGTGTCCATGCAAAGGAACCATTTGTTTACTTAGGGGTTGCGGAGAAATTCTTGTGGCTTTCTTTTTGGCAGTTTTTTTTTTTTTAGTTTTATTATTATTATACTTTAAGTTTTAGGGTACATGTGCACAACGTGCAGGTTTGTTACATATGTATACATGTGCCATGTTGGTGTGCTGCACCCATTAACTCGTCATTTAACATTTGGTATATCTCCTAATTTAACATTTGGTATATCTCCTAATGCTATCCTTCCCCCCTCCCCCAACCCCACAACAGGCCCTGGTGTGTGATGTTCCCCTTCCTGTGTCCATGTGTTCTCATTGTTCAATTCTCACCTATGAGTGAGAACATGCGGTGTTTGGTTTTTTGTCCTTGGGATAGTTTGCTGAGAATGATGGTTTCCAGTTTCATCCATGTCCCTACAAAGGACATGAACTCATCATTTATGGCTGCATAGTATTCTATGGTATATATGTGCCACATTTTCTTAATCCAGTCTATCATTGTTGGACATTTGGGTTGGTTCCAAGTCTTTGCTATTGTGAATAGTGCTGCAATAAACATATGTGTGCATGTGTCTTTATAGCAGCATGATTTATAGTCCTTTGGGTGTATACCCAGTAATGGGATTGCTGGGTCAAATGGTATTTCTAGTTCTAGATCCCTGAGGAATCGCCACACTGCCTTCCACAATGGTTGAACTAGTTTACAGTCCCACCAACAGTGTAAAAGTGTTCCTATTTCTTCACATCCTCTCCAGCACCTGTTGTTTCCTGACTTTTTAATGATTGTCATTCCAACTGGTGTGAGATGGTATCTCATTGTGGTTTTGATTTGCATTTCTCTGATGGCCAGTGATGGTGAGCATTTTTTCATGTGTTTTTTGGCTGCATAAATGTCTTCTTTTGAGAAGTGTCTGTTCATATCCTTCACCCGCTTTTTGATGGGGTTGTTTGTTTTTTTCTTGTAAATTTGTTTGAGTTCATTGTAGATTCTGGATATTAGCCCTTTGTCAAATGAGTAGGTTGCAAAAATTTTCTCCCATTCTGTAGGTTGCCTGTTCAGTCTGATAGTAGTTTCTTTTGCTGTGCAGAAGCTCTTTAGTTTAATTAGATCCCATTTGTCAATTTTGGCTTTTGTTGCCATTGCTTTTGGTGTTTTAGACATGAAGTCCTTGCCCATGCCTATGTCCTGAATGGTATTGCCTAGGTTTTCTTCTAGGGTTTTTATGGTTTTAGGTCTAACATGTAAGTCTTTAATCCATCTTGAATTAATTTTTGTATAAGGTGTAAGGAAGGGATCCAGTTTCAGCTTTCTACATATGGCTAGCCAGTTTTCCCAGCACCATTTATTAAATAGGGAATCATTTCCCCATTGTTGTTTTTGTCAGGTTTGTCAAAGATCAGATAGTTGTAGATATGTGGCATTATTACTGAGGGCTCTGTTCTGTTCCATTGGTCTATATCTCTGTTTTGGTACCAGTACCATGCTGTTTTGGTTACTGTAGCCTTGTAGTATAGTTTGAAGTCAGGTAGTGTGGTGCCTCCCACTTTGTTCTTTTGGCTTAGGATTGACTTGGCAATGTGGGCTCTTTTTTGGTTCCATATGAACTTTAAAGTAGTTTTTTCCAATTCTGTGAAGAAAGTCATTGGTAGCTTGATGGGGATGGCATTGAATCTATAAATTACCTTGGGCAGTATGGTCATTTTCACCATATTGATTCTTCCTACCCATGAGCATGGAATGTTCTTCCATTTGTTTGTATCCTCTTTTATTTCATTGAGCAGTGGTTTGTAGTTCTCCTTCAAGAGGTCCTTCACATCCCTTGTAAGTTGGATTCCTAGGTATTTTATTCTCTTTGAAGCAATTGTGAATGGGAGTTCACTCATGATTTGGCTCTCTGTTTGTCTGTTATTGGTGTATAAGAATGCTTGTGATTTTTGTACATTGATTTTGTATCCTGAGACTTTGCTGAAGTTGCTTATCAGCTTAAGGAGATTTTGGGCTGAGATGATGGGGTTTTCTAGATATACAATCATGTCATCTGCAAACAGGGACAATTTGACTTCCTCTTTTCCTAATTGAATACCCTTTATTTCTTTCTCCTGCCTGATTGCCCTGGCCAGAACTTCCAACACTATGTTGAATAGGAGTGGTGAGAGAAGGCATCCCTGTTTTGTGCCAGTTTTCAAAGGGAATGCTTCCAGTTTTTGCCCATTCAGTATGATGTTGGCTGTGGGTTTGTCATAGATAGCTCTTATTATTTTGAGATACTTCCCATCAATACCTAATTTATTGAGAGTTTTTAGCATGAAGGGTTGTTGAATTTTGTCAAAGGCCTTTTCTGCATCTATTGAGATAATCATGTGGTTTTTGTCTTTGATTCTGTTTATATGCTGGATTACATTTATCGATTTGCGTATGTTGAACCAGCCTTGCATCCCAGGGATGAAGCCCACTTGATCATGGTGGATAAGCTTTTTCATTTGCTGCTGGATTCGGTTTGCCAGTATTTTATTGAGGATTTTTGCATCAATGTTCATCAAGGATATTGGTCTAAAATTCTCTTTTTTGGTTGTGTCTCTGCCCGGCTTTGGTATCAGGATGATGCTGGCCTCATAAAATGAGTTAGGGAGGATTCCCGCTTTTTGTATTGATTGGAATAGTTTCAGAAGGAATGGTACCAGCTCCTCCTTGTACCTCTGGTAGAATTCGGCTGTGAATCCATCTGGTCCTGGACTTTTTTTGGTTGGTAAGCTATTGATTATTGCCTCAATTTCAGAGCCTGTTATTGGTCTATTCAGAGATTCAACTTCTTCCTGGTTTAGTCTTGGGAAGAAGTATGTGTCGAGGAATTTATCCATTTCTTCTAGATTTTCTAGTTTATTTGCGTAGAGGTGTTTATAGTATTCTCTGATGGTAGTTTGTATTTCTTTGGGATCAGTGGTGATATCCCCTTTATCATTTTTTGTTGCGTCTATTTGATTCTTCTCTCTTTTCTTCTTTATTAGTCTTGCTAGCGGTCTATCAATTTTGTTGATCTTTTCAAAAAACCAGCTCCTGGATTCATTAATTTTTTGAAGGGTTTTATGTATCTCTATTTCCTTCAGTTCTGCTCTGATCTTCGTTATTTCTTGCCTTCTGCTAGCTTTTGAATGTGTTTGCTCTTGCTTTTCTAGTTCTTTTAATTGTGATGTTAGGATGTCAATTTTAGATCTTTCCTGCTTTCTCTTGTGGGCATTTAGTGCTATAAATTTCCCTCTACACACTGCTTTGAATGTGTCCCAGAGATTGTGGTATGTTGTGTCTTTGTTCTCGTTCGTTTCAAAGAACATCTTTATTTCTGCCTTCATTTTGTTATGTATCCAGTAGTCATTCAGGAGCAGGTTGTTCAGTTTCCATGTAGTTGAGCGGTTTTGAGTGAGTTTCTGAATCCTGAGTTCTAGTTTGATTGCACTGTGGTCGGAGAGACGGTTTGTTATTTCTGTTCTTTTACATCTGCTGAGGAGAGGCACACCCCCACTCCTGTGTCAGGCACACCCGCCCTCTTCTTTCAGGGACACCACACCCTCTTGTATCGGGCACAGGATACCCTCTTCTTTCAGGGACAGCACAGCCTCTTGTTTCAGGGACACCACACCCTCTTGTTTCAGGGACACCACATCCTCCTGTTTCAGGCACAGGATACCCTCTTGTTTGAGGGACACCCCACCCTCTTGTTTCTGGGAAACCACAACCTCTTGTTTCAGGCACAGGATACCCTCTTGTTTCAGGGACACCCCACCCTCTTCTTTCGGGGATACCCCATCCTCTTGTTTCAGGCACAGGATACCCTCCTGTGTCAGGCACACCCCACCCTCTTCTTTCAGGCACACCCCACCCTCTTGTTTAGGGCAAACCACACTCTCTGGTTTCAGGCACACCCCCCTTCTTCTGTCAGGCACAGCCCACCCTCTTGTTTCAGGGACACCCCACCCCCTTCTTTCAGGGACACCCTACCCTTTTGTTTCAGGGACACCGCACCTCTTATTTCAGGAACAGGACACCCTCTTGTTTCAGGCACACACACCCTCTTGCTTCAGGCACACCCCACTCTCTTGTTTCTGGGAAACCACACCCTCTTGTTTCAGGGACACCCCACCCTGTTGTTTCAGGCACACCCCCCCTCTTCTTTCAGGCACAGGATACCCTCTCGTTTCAGGGACACCACACCCTCTTGTTTCAGGTGTCCTCTCTCTGCACAGCATTTCCCCCTCACACTCATTGTTTTATCAGCCTCTGGTTTTATTCATGTTTTTTCTCCATATGAAATAGTATCCTCTCTTCCTTTCAAACCAGAGCACTCTCAATCATGGAAAATTAGAAACAGCAGCTCTTGCATTCAGATTTTTAAATAAAATGTTTAAATCAATGGTTCAGATGTGAATTGCAAAGGTAGCCAGGTAGCGAAGCTGCCACATTCACAGAGAGGAGCTCAGCTGCTTTCCGCATTATTATTACAAACCTAAGAAAGCGGATTCAGAACCCTGCTCAGGTGAAGGCAGTGGGGCATTTACGTCAAGACTGCAGTTTTGCTGGACTACAGCCCAGAAGCACTTGCTGTATTTTTGATAATATCTAACCCTGTCAGATGGCTCCATGGGGCCCCAGGAAACACTTCTACTGCTGTACTCCAGCTGAAGCCACCACCCTCCATCCCTCCCAATGTTTTCTTCTGGACTCACCCACAGAAAGAAGGAGAAAGGAGTCCCAGTGGAGGTCAGGAACAGCCCTGGGAGAGCACCCAGAGATGAATTCGTGCCTAAGAGGGCTCACCCACTACGTCTCTTCCTCCTCCCGGAGAGCACCCAAAGATGTGTTGGTGCCTAAGAGAACTTGCCCACTACCTCTCTTCCTCCTGGGCCCCCTTTGAATGCCTGCACCGTGACCGGGGCCAGGAGCACATGAGCCTAAGACCATTCTGTGCACCAGGGCCCATGTCTGAGAGATTAATACACAGGTGCCCAGGGCTTCTCCTGTCTCCGTGGTGATTTACAGACTTAGATTTAGATACAGATATTGATTATGGATAGAGACAGTTTAGATATAGGCACAGATGCAGATATATAGATATAGATATAAATTTACATATAGGTATAAAAGAATAGATTTAGATTTCGGTACAACTCTCCCTATATAAGTTTAGACGTAGATACACATATAGATTCAGGCATCGATATAAAAGAATAGATTTAGATTTCGGTACAGCTCTCCCTACATAAGTTTAGATGTAGATACACATATAGATTCAGGCGCTGATATAATTATAGAGGGAGCTCTGCTTTTGCAGTGTTTTGTTCCTAACGTTGCGGTTAAAGGAACTGTATTCATTTCCTGGGGGTGCCACAGCACAGCCCTGCAGACTGGGGGTGCCACAGCACAGCCCTGCAGACTGGGGGTGCCACAGCAAAGCCCTGCAGACTGGGGGTGCCACAGCGCAGCCCTGCAGACTGGGGGTGCCACAGCGCAGCCCTGCAGACTGGGGGTGCCACAGCGCAGCCCTGCAGACTGGGGGTGCCACAGCGCAGCCCTGCAGACTGGGGGTGCCACAGCGCAGCCCTGCAGACTGGGGGTGCCACAGCGCAGCCCTGCAGACTGGGGGTGCCACAGCGCAGCCCTGCAGACTGGGGGTGCCACAGCGCAGCCCTGCAGACTGGGGGTGCCACAGCGCAGCCCTGCAGACTGGGGGTGCCACAGCGCAGCCCTGCAGACTGGGCACTTGAACAAGAGATTTCTCTCTCAGCAAGTCCTGGAGGCTGGAGTCCAAGATCAAGGGGAGGGCACGGTTGGCTCCCCCTGAGGACTCACCCCTTGGCTGCAGATACCACCTTCTCCCCATGTCCTCCCAGGGCAGTCCCTCTGTGTGTCCATGGCCTCATCTCCTCATCTCATAAGGACATAGCTGCCTTGGGCCACGGCCCACAGTGACATCCCCATGCCACTGCAATTACCTCCTCAAATGCTCCATCCCCAAATCAGCCACATTCTGAGGCCCAGGGTGTTGGGGATTCAGCATGAGAATCTGGGAGACCCGGTTCAGCCCACGACAGCCAATTGGTCCATAGTGCCATCTTTTAATCTTCAGAATAAAACTTTAGAAGAAGTGTATACAACAGGAGCATGAGTTGCATAAACTAATTTCCAATATTTTGTTTCAAACGTCTTGTTTTAGTTTTTGTCCTGAGAACAATTACAACATACATTTATCTATTTCCTGCATCTTTTTTTTTTTTGAGACGGAGTCTCGCTCTGTCGCCTAGACTGGAGTGCAGTGGCGCGATCTCAGCCCACTGCAAGCTCCACCTCCCGGGTTCACGCCATTCTCCTGCCTCAGCCTCCCGAGTAGCTGGGACTACAGGCGCCCGCCACCACGCCCGGCTAATTTTTGTTTTTGTATTTTTAGTAGAGACGGGGTTTCACCATGTTAGCCAGGATGTATTTCCTACATCTTAAGGACTCTTTTCTATAAACGCTGAAGCCAAATGTGTCTCTAGAGTTGAGACGTTCCCTCCCAGTGCTACCTCTTTGCTAAGGAATCCTCCTGCCTGGACACTGTCCATCTGCCTCTCCAGATCCTGCCCCCGCCAAGGGCGTCCGAGAGAGCCCCTGAGCCCGGCCCGGACCAGCGCCCGTGCTCAGGGCAGCTGTGCGCTCCGCGCTGCCTTCTGGTTCTGTGTGATGGATGTGATGCTTGCATGGTGCTGTCCCTGCCCCGCTCCGCCCCTGCTGGGCTCCTGGCTGCCGAACCTGAAGTCAGGGTCCGCCGCAGAACACGTCTTCCCGCTGAGCCCTGCAGCCCCTCAAGCAGCTGGCTGCCTCCGAGGAGCTTCCTCTCCGACAGCTGCCGTGTACCTCCCTGACCTCCCTGGCTGTGACTCAGGCCCTCCGGAGGCACTGGGCCAGGCCGCCGGTGGAGCCTGATGGTGGACGATGGTGGACAGTGACCTTCTCCTTCTAAGGAAGGGACTGAGGGAGGGAAAGTGCCCCCAGAGCATCTCAGGAGCTGGGAGGTGAACAGCTGGGGATGCTGGCTTCAGTGCTTCCCCCACCACCAGCACCCTTATGATTATACTGCTGCCCCTGCAAAAATGACCATGGAAAATTAGGATGCTGGGCATGACCTTTCTGCATCCCTGACGCACAAGCCTAACTGTTGTTGCACGGAGGCCACACACGTCCCTGATGAAAGAGCCCTGCTCCCGTGCAAGCAGCCGTCAGTGCCCTCTCCGTACAGATGGCGCAGCCATCAGTGCCCTCTCTGTACAGACGGAGCAGGCCAGCAGGACCCAGCACTGTCCCTGGATGCACCAGCTCTGTCACTGCTGGCTGGAACACCCAAAAGGGTGATGGACATGGCTGTCCCTCAGTTTTCAGAATGACAGCGTGAAACCCAAGCCTGCCTGCATGAGGAAGGGTGGACACAGACAGCAGCAGAGGCCTCGGCTGAGTGGACATGCGCTCAGGTGCTGAGGGCTGAGAGTGACCCAGGAGCAACAGCTGAGCCATATTTACAGCCCCTCCTACGAGCCCTGGCTGGAGGCCAGAGGTTCCAGGGAAGGTGGGCACCAGGGCCCATGTCTGAGAGATTCATAAACAGGTGCCACGGCTTCTCCTTCCGTCCTCACAGTGACTCACAGACAAGGATGCCAAGGCCTGGAAGATGAGGCATGGCTGTGAGAGGAGCTCACACTCCCCTGGCCTGCGAGAGCTCTGGCCCCGGCCAGCCCGTGTGCTGATCGTATTAGACGGAGTCTCCAGAGAAACAGGAGCAATCAGAGATGCAGATGTATGTATAGAAATAGTTATAGATTAGAGACATCCATAGAGACACAGTTTGTAGATGTAGTTACGTAGATTTAGATATAGATATCGATTTAAATATGGATATATGTAGATATACTATATATAGATTTACATAGATTGAACATAGATATAGATAACAAATATGTAGACATAGATATAGTTATACTGATTTAGATATAGATACTGATTGTGGGTATATATAGTTTTAGGTACAGATGCAGATATAAAAATATAGATATAAATTTACACATAGGTATAGAATAGATTTAGGTGTAGCTATACCTATGTAAGTTTAGATATAGACACAATATAGATTTTGGTATAGATGTAAATATAGAGGTAGTTACCCATACATAGACATAGTTTTACATGTGCTTCTAGCTCTATGTACCGATATGTGAAAGCATCTCTATTCTGCAGAATTGGTCATGAAATTAGAGAGGCTGAGGAGTCCCAGGATCTGCTGTCTGCAAACTGGAGCCCCAGGGGAGCTGGCGGGGCAGTTCCAGTCTGAGGGCAGGTGAAGCTGCAATGAGATGTCCCAGCTCAAGCAGAGAGTCAGGAAAAGAGAAGTGAAGCCCTTTTTCCTCCACTTCCTGCTCTACTGGGGCCCTGGAAGGATGGGACAGGGCCCACCCATGTTGGGGAGAGCCGTCTGCTTTTCTCAGACCACAGATTCCAATGCTGATCCCTTCCAGGACCCAACTCAAAAACACAGTGGGAATAATGTCTAATCTGGGCGCCTGTGCTCCAGTCAAGCGGACACATAAAATTAACCATCCCAGTCATGTTATTCTGACCTGAATTCTCCAAAATCCCAGTGCCCTCTGTCTGCCCAGGGCCTGCCCAAACCCGATGCCGTTTCTTTCCAAAGGCCCTCGTTGGCCTTCACCCAGCCTCAGGGACTCCCCCTTGCCCAGCCCCACCAGAGGGGCACCCACGCCCACAGCAGAGAACTCCAGGGCTCCCCGGGGTGGCACTGAAGAGGTCGGAAAGCCACTCCGGCAGCAGCCGTGACCTTTGTGATGCCCCCGTAGGACATGCAGGGGCTTCAGGACCTGTCTCAGCTGGGTATCTCCCAGAAGCACACAGCCTTCAATCTGGTTCCAAGCGGATTTACTGGCTCTTGAAATTGAAAATGCCAAGAAACAAAAATTTGGAGCAAAGAATAAAGGAAAGTTTCTGCTGTGCGGCATCTGGCCTTCCCCCTGCCCAGGCTCGTTTCACACTTTTGGGTAAACATGGAGCTGCTTACGTCCCTGCTGTGGGTCTGCCGTTTGCTGGTGTGAGGTGGGCTTCAATCAGATGCTCGCCACGGCCCAGGACGTGGCTCCTCCTCTCACTCAAGGCTCTGATGTCAGATGCCTGGCTTTGCTGGTTTTTGAAGTTCCACAGGTGGCCCCTCCAGCCCAAGTTTCTCAGAACCAAATCCAGCCGGAAATGTCAAACACCAATTCCAGAATGAATTTCCACGGCTGCCCTGTCCTGACTGCCCTGACCTGGCCTGTGCTTACCTGGAATTCCCACCCAGGCCTCGATCAGCTCAGCCTTCCCCGCACCCCCAGCCCCAGGCACACAGGCGGAGCCCCCACCTCTAGCAGCCATGGGGGTGAGAGCGAGTAGCAGCAGATGGAAACAAGAACCCAGCCTCTTTCTGGATGCAGGAGGAGCGGCATCCCAGGGCCAGCAAGCAGCTCTGCTCCCCATGGGCTTTTAGCAAGAGGCTGGTGTGCTCAGGTTGCCCTGCAGACTCCCCTGCGTCTGTGAAAGGTGGCAGGAAGGAGATCCTGGAGGCGGGAGGATGGTTAGAGGAGCCCAGGAGGAAAAGTCATGAGGTGCAAAGGCTAAGAGGACAGGATCGTTTTGGAGAAACAGTCAGGATGCGCATTTAGGGTTTATTCATTCATTCTTGTATCCAACAAATGCTTGCTGAGTGTCCAAGACCCATGCGAGGAAGACAGCCACGGACACCACCTGTGTCTGGGCTGGGAAAGACCCATGATAGGAAGACAGCCATGGACACGACCTGTGTCCGGGCTGCAAATGAGACACACCTGCAAATCATGCCCAGGTGCTAAGTGGCACAGGGAACCGCAGTCACCCACAGACGCATTCATCACCGACTTTAAAAAATCCAGTGTGAGAAATAGAACCAAACCAAGCACCCATTCCCCCAGCCGCTGCCTCTGTCTGGTACCTGAATGTGCTCTCTTAGCCCCAGAGCCTATCTTCAACCACACGTGATGATGTTTATCCAGGGCGACCCATGTTTGTTTAAAAAAAAAACGCTGATTGGTAGTATTTAAATTCTTATTTAAAAGTCAGTTTTCGTTTCATCTTGGATTTCTCCTCGGCCACCTCGAATGGGTATCCAAACAGAAAAGTCGGTAATAAAACTGTGGTCAAAGGAGCTCTGAGTTCAGAGCCGCAGTGGCCCCAGGCTGGCAGCTCCTTGCAGAAAGCACAGAAGCCAAGGGCTGGAGCCCAGGAGCCGTTACTCAGTCCCCGGCTTTTTCAGATGAAGACACAGGTCCAGGTGGGAGGCACTTCCTCAGGCCCCTCACCAGATGCTCTGGGGCCGGCTCCTGGGCTGCCTCTCTCCTCTGTCCCATCAGGCCTGCACTTCTCTGTCTGATTCCCACCAACCTTGTTCGGTTTCTTTCTGGAATTGGCTGATGAGACCCAGGATGAGCTCCAAAATCTGCTGCCATCCCGTGCCCCCGTCCCCCCAGGGCTCCAGCTCTGCAAGGTGCTGTCCACCTTCCTTCAACCACGGTTTCACCTCCAGGAGGCTTCTGGGAAAGATAAAATGCAGCCAAGGGCAAAACCTCACAGCGTTATACCGCGTCCCTTACAGCCCACCTTGCGAACCTTTCCCGCCCCGGTCCGAGGCCTCCAGGGCTCCCTGGGTCCTGTGGTCCACTCCGAGGGCACTGAGAGCCCTCCCTGGTTTGGGCAGCAAGGTGTGCTTTCTGTCCTGCAGGACGCGTCCATGCCGAACCCACAGTGAGGTTCCATAGAGAGAGCTAACTTCTCTGCCCTGTGTCCCCTGCTGGCTCTCCCCACACACGTCACATTCGGATCTGGACTTAGTGGTCTAAATGGCTTTTCTGGGCAGATAAATGTCCCTCCCTCCCTGCGTCATGCTGTGGGGTGAAGGCCACTGGCCCAGGACAGGGTATGGCCCAGACTCAGGCAGGACAACCTGGCTTGCCCAGGCCCTGGAAGGTTCTTCTAACCAGGCCTCTTTCTGTGCCCCAGACTCCGGGAGGCTCCCTCGGGTGACTTGGATCTCCATGTCGCTGGCTGCTCTGCTGATCGGAGGCTTCGCAGGTCTCACCTCGACGGTGATTTGCAGGTGGTAAGTCCTTCACTTTTTGACTGTTACTTAGACACAAAGCAATCTCCTTTCCTCTGGACATGGCTGCAATGAAGCTGCTTTATTTTCCCGAAGCTAACACAGGTTACTGGTATCTCAAAGGCATTGATCTCAGAGCTATTTTGTACAACGTAATAGACTCTCCGGATCTTTCATTATGCTTTAAATAATGAAAGTGGAGTGATCATTTGTACACCTTAGGTGGTGTCAGGTATCTGTGGACGAACATTCAGCAATATGGAACACTTTTCTAACACTAAATGATTGCATTGAAGTAGTCTCTTGTTAGGAGTAAAGATTCTTACAAAGGTTTCTCAGAGAAAAAAGGTCATCCATGAATAAAAAGTTTTATTCTTCAGTTTTATTCCCTCCCTTGAGGGCAGAAATTGGAAGTTGAACTTTCATGTTAAAAATGGCGCTGCTGTTGAAAGACTCAGACCCGCACCTGAGAGGCCCTGCCCTGTGAGAGTGCTCTCTGCAGAAAGAGCCCCTCGAGGCTTCCTCAGGTGCGGCAGCTGGTCCATGTCCCTAGCCCTGAGGAACCGGCTCTGTTCCTTGCTGCTGCCTCTCACCTTGCTGCTGCCTCTCACCTTGCTGCTGCCTCTCACCTTGCTGCTGCCTCTCACCTTGCTGCTGCCTCTCACCTTGCTGCTGCCTCTCACCTTGCTGCTGCCTCTCACCTTGCTGCTGCCTCTCACCTTGCTGCTGCCTCTCACCTTGCTGCTGCCTCTCACCTTGCTGCTCTTGAGCACCAAACTCCTTGAGCATCCCTTCCATTTTTAATGCACAATTGTTCATTTTATATAGACAGTATTAAAAATAACAGCAAACACTATAAGAAGTCATTGCAGGCCCAGGCTGGGCCCCCAGGGCCATGCCCAGGATACCTGCAGATAGAGGCCACAGTTTCTCGGCTTCTGCTCTCCCTGAGTGCCAGGCTCCCCCCCCCAATATGCCCTGTGCACACTCCTGCTGCAGCCAGCCCTGCCCTCTGCCAGGATGACCCCTGCAGTCACCTTCGCCCTCCACCCCGGCCTTCAGAGCTCCTCACTGGCGGAGCCCCCAGCACCACCCCATACCACACATGTATGGATTATCCAAGCCTCCCAGCCTCACCCGATACCACATATCTATGGATTATCCAGGACTTTCCCACTCTAAGGCCATCTTCCAGGGTGTTTCTCATCTTCCCAATAATAGAAACTCAACATTCTAGCAAACTTCATTTTTCTAGCAACTTCTCAGTACACTGAGGAACATCTGCCCCTTGAACAGGAAATCTTTTTCTTACAGTCTTTGCACCTCCTACAGGAACTGGTTTTTAAAAACTTGAAAGCTTAGCAACCAGATGTTACCCATGATCTTTATCGTTTCCAAAGGGCCTTGTCAAGAATCCACAGTTAATGGACTCTTTTCTGTTGTTTTTATTTTTGTGATCACTTGTAAGGGAAGACTCTGTACCTGCCATCTGCTCTGCATCCTGTCTCTCTGGGGCTGAGATATGGTAGTAAAGCCAGTTCCCCATTTCAGTTATTCTGCAAGGCCTCTGACAACTGCTGTGGTTGACCCAGATGCCTGCATTTGATGCATGAGCTTATGATCTATCCGGCATATGATATTTCAGTGACGTATTTCTGAGTAGCTTCATAGCTTCTAACAAAACTAACATACACCATAATTCAGACAACTGTGAGAAATTCCTTCCAGTAGAGAGGTGATAGTAATGGCTAAAGCCATGTGTCAGATGTAATGCTAAGTCATCCTTAGCCACTGTCTCCTCTGATTTTCTGATCAATCATCTGACTCAGGTGCTTGCCATGGCTTGAACTGTGCATTGCCCAGAACATATGTTTATATCCTGACCTTTAGGACCTCAGAACGTAACCTTATTTGGAACTAAGGTCTCTGCAGGTGTAATTAGTTAAAATGAGACTGTCCTGGAGTAGAGGGGCCCCTAATTCAGTATAGCTGGTGTTCCTCTAGAAAGAAGAGTTTGGACAGAGTCATGCTGAGCAGGCGAAGGCCATCTTGACGGGAAGGCAGAGATCAGGGTGGGGTTTCTCTAAGCTGGGGCCTGGGAAGATCGCCAGCAGCCACAGGAACTGGGAGGGAGGCCGGGGGAGCCGCCTGCAGGCACCTTGATGTGGACTCCTGCCTCCAGAGCTCTAGGTCATAAACTGCTGTTTAAGCAGCCAAGTCTGTGGTCCTCTGTGACTGCAGCCCCAGAAAACTTAATGAAGTGCTATGATTGTGTCCATTTTCAGTGTAGCATGTGGAGGTGGAGCGAGAGCCTGTTACTTGCTCAAAGCTGGTAGGCCCAGAGCAGATCCTTGAACCCAAGACCTGTCTGGTGCTGGAGGTCGTGCCACAGCTGCCCTGCTTCTCCTCGCGAGAAGATTATATTCCACATGCCAGGGCTGTTGTTTCAAATAATCATTACCAGTGAAGATTGAATAATCACCTACTCTCTCTACAAGACACTATACTGATCTGTTTTGGAAAGAGAGTACTTTAACCTTTAAATGGTGTCTCTAGTTTTAGATGGGGTGGTGGCAGGAAATATTCCCTATGTTTTATGAATCATTTGGTCTTTAAACCTTAAAAACTTTAATAACTAATAATTAAAACCCTCAGCTAACCATGAAATAGACTAAGCAATAAAAATTGAATAGGCTGTAAGCAAATAACTTCAAATTAGCTGGTTCTGTAATTAGAACTATGAAATGTATAATTGTAACAAAAACTGATACGACTATAATTTCCTATTCATAAACAATTTTGTATTTGCAAACATCCCTATAAACATCTATCACATTATCATTATAATAAATATTAGTGTCTGTAGCCCACACTCACAAGAAAAATAGCAATTTTCTTTAAGATTGACAGCCATAGATGAAATGAATACCTTTCCAAGGGAACTTGGGAGAGAAATATTTGGCTATAGTTGATTTTAGACTCTGGAGTTCTAAAAATACGCTACCAAGCACCAATTTAGTTTGCAAAATGCCACTTAGCTGAAAGATATGAAAAAGTGGATGTTAATGTGCCATCACACGCTTGAGAACACAGGCAGTTACAGAGTCAGAGACCATAACAGGGAAGACCCTGGGGCTCCAGGGCAGAAACATCCTGGACCAAAACCACAGCACCCCCAGACCTGTGATTAGGTGAGCTCAGAAGGTCAAGTCACTCATTAGGAAATGTCTTCCCACCACCTACCCTGAGACCCCTATTCTGCTCCCAGCAAATGGGCTCAACACAATCCCAGCCTCGCCTCCCTGTGTCTTATTCTTCAGCTTTTAAAAACATGATCTTATTTCCACCTTAGGGCATTATTGTGCGGTGAGGAGTAGGGAGGAGAACAGAGAGGGATAGGAAGAAAGAGAGACAGAGACAGCAGAGAGAGACACGGGAGGGGAGAGAACCCAGCACGGTGTGGCACACAGCAGGTGCTCAGCAAACACGTTTCCTCTCCTAGTGAGACAAAGGTGTTTGCTTCTCTACTCTCCTCGTTTTCTACCCACCCTGCTGTCTGGGGTCTCACACTGTATGTTTTGGTGTGATTGTTATTAATGTGACAAATTGTTGATATATTTTCACTGCAAATCTACGATTCGGAGTTAACTCCATGAAACCAACTCCTCCATCAACTTTCTTGACACTGCATTTAAAATACCTCCACGGTATTATGCTTGTTTTATTGCATTGAAATTGTTTTCACCAAGTTGAATTCTTTCTGTGCAAACTTTTACACTAAAAATTCATTCCTCAAATCAGTTCTTTGGTCCATGTCAGTTTTGCCAATTAGACCTTTCGCCATGGAGGTGTTTTCCTTTGTGTTATGATTTCTTCAGATCCGGCTTTCTTAGCTCAGCATTTTAAACTTAAATTTCATGAAGACTTTGTCTGTCTGTTGATTCTTACTGTCCAGGGAAGATGCTAAATGTGCAGTTCCAGTCCTTTCTCCATTCGCTCTTGTTTTTATTATTTTTACCAATTCTACTTTTCCACCATCACTTAGTTCTGCAATTTCTGAAATACAATTTTTCAGGTTTTCCTTGTCGTTGATAAACGGTGCCCTATACCTTTTTGCTGTTTTCAGTTGTATTTTGTATTGATATTCCTACCTATGGTATGCATTATAAATTCAAGAAAGTTTGAATCATTTGCATTAATTTCCAGCAAATCCATGGGAAAGCCGCGAGGTCCTTCCCTAGGATGCAGCCAGGTTTGTCCTCCGTCCAGGACGTCTAACCCTTTGTTCCCTCCTGCACCTTCCCACGCTGTGAGCTGACGGGTGCTGTTTCTCTAGGCACGTCACGGGGGGTTCCTGCCATCTCTCCTCTCTTTATCATTAGATTCATAAGCGTGCTGGAGGGAGGCCAGCTGGGACTAGGCCGAGGCAGCCATGGGGCAGTGGGCCACGGGATCCCTGTAAGCCATGGGTGACCGGGTGCCCTCTTCCCCCAGGACCCTCCTCCCCAGGGACCCTCCTCCCCCAGGGCCCTCTTTCCCCAGACTCTTGGGGTAGAGACGGCCTGAGTCTCTTGAGATGGAGTCTGAAGCTTCTGGTCATCTGAACTGCATGTTGATGACAGGAATTGTCTTCAGGACGTCATTAGGGAAGTCCGAGAGAACTGGCCCTTTGCTGGGGGACAGACGTAGAGTGGCCAGCCTGGGCTACACAGCATGGGGGATCCGAACCTGTTGTAGTGGAATCCTTCAGAGTCAGTACGGCGTCTGTGAGGCACTCAGGCCCCAGAGGACCTGGGGAAGGACCTGCGCTCCTTAGAGACCCACGTCTGCCCTGGAAATGAGCAGGGGGAGCTGTTCCCAGCCTGGTCACACATGAACCACAGCAAGGACAGCCTCCCACCCCAGTCCCCCCGTGGGTTCAGCTAAACGCATTGTCCAGTTTCCAGCCCAGAACCCAAGCCTGGCTGCCAGGCTCATCTGCTTTCTCTGGGCAGCTCCCAGCCCCTCCCTCTGTGGCCCCACTTTCTTCACCCACTTCTGAGCAAGTATAGGTGGGAAATGTGCCTTCCTCCCTCTCCTGACCCCAGGCTGTCTACTCCACACCGGCCCTGCCACCGTGCCCTGGCAGTCTCTCTACCCGACACCGGCCCTGCCACCGTGCCCTTACAGTCTCTACCCCACACTGGCCCTGCTACCATGCCCTGGCAGTCTCTCTACCCCACACCGGCCCGCCACCGTGCCCTCACAGTCTCTCTACCCCACACCTGCCCGCCACCGTGCCCTCACAGTCTCTCTACCCCACACCGGCCCTGCCACCTTGCCCTCACAGTCTCTCTACCCCACACCTGCCTGCCACCGTGCCCTCACAGACTCTCTACCCCACACCGGCCCGCCACCGTGCCCTCACAGTCTCTCTACCCCACACCTGCCTGCCACCGTGCCCTCGCAGTCTCTCTTCCCCACACCTGCCTGCCACCGTGCCCTCACAGACTCTCTACCCCACACCGGCCCGCCACCGTGCCCTCACAGTCTCTCTGATCTGTCTCCCTCTCCTGCCCCCAGACCATCTACCTCACACAGGCCCTGCCACCGTGTGATGCCCAGCCATTCCCACTTCTTGGCTTTTATTCAAGCCTCAATCTCTCCATAGAATACTCCCTCCTTATCATCTCAACCTGGCTTCGAATGTTCAAGTCTGACACATCGCAAAGGCTACACCCAAACACCACCCACTGTCTGCAACCTCCCCAAACCCCCACTGTATGCAAGGTCCTCAAATCCCCCCACTGTGTGCAACCTCCTCAAATCCCACCACTGTGTGCAACCCCCCAAATCTCCCCCACTGTGAGCAAAACCCCAAATCCCCCCACTGGGTGCAACCTCCTCAAATCCCACCACTGTGTGAAACCTCCTCAAATCCCCCCACTGTGTGCAACTTCCTCAAATCCCCTCCACTCTGTGTAACCTCCCCAAATTCCCCCCACTGTGTGCAACCTCCTCAGATCCCTCCCACGCTGTGCAAACTCCCCAGATCCCCCCAACTCTGTGCAACCTCCCCAAATCTCCCCAACTGTGTGCAACCTCACCAAATCCCGACACTGTGTGCAACCTCCCCAAATCCTGCGCACTCTGTGCAACCTCCCCAAATCCGCCCCACCCTGTGCATCCTCCCAAAATCCCCCACACTGTGTGCAACCTCCTCAAATCCCCCCAACTGTTTGCAACCTCCCAAATCCCCCCACTTTGAGCAACCTCCCCAAATCCCCCCACTGTGTAAAACCTCCCCAAATCCCCCCACTGTGAGCAACCTCCCCAAATCCCCCCACTGTGAGCAACCTCCCCAAATCCCCCCACTGTGTGCAACTTCCCTAAATCCCCCCACTGTGTTCAACCTCCCCAAATACCTCCCATTGTGTGCAAACACCCCAAATCCCTCCCACTCTGTGCAACCTCCCCAAATTACCCCCACTGTGTGCAACCTCCTCAGTTCCCTCCCACTCTATGCAAACTCCCCAAATCCCCCCGACTCTATGCAACCTCCCCAAATCCCCCCCACTCTGAGCAACCTCCCCAAATCCCCACCACTCTGTGCAACCTCCCCAAATCCCCCACACTGTGTGCAAACTCCTCAAATCCCCCTACTGTGAGCAACCTCCTCAAATCACCCCCCACTGTGTTCAACCTCCTCGAATCACCCCACTGTGTGCAGCCTCCCCAAATCCCCCCCACTGTGTGCAACCTCCTCAGGTCCCCCACTGTGTGCAACCCCCCCAAATACCGCCACTGTGTGCAACCTCTTCTAATCCCCTCACTGTGTGCAACCTCCCCAAATCCCCCCACTGTGAGCAAACTCCTCAAATCCCCCCAACTGTGTGTGAGCTCCCCAAATCCCCCCAGTGTGTACAACTTGCTTAAATCCCCCCAACTGTAATCAACCTCCCCAAATCCCCCCTACTGTGTGCAACCTTCCCAAATCCCCCCACTCTGTGCAACTTCCCCAAATCCCCCCTACTCTCTGCAAACTCACCAAATCCCCCCCACTCTGTGCAACCTTCCCAAATCCCCCCCATTGTGGGCAACAACACCAAATCCTGCCACTGTGTGCAACCTCACCAAATTCCCCCCACTCCGTGCAACCTCCCCAAATACCCCCAACTCTGTGCAACCTCCCAAAATCCCCCAAACTGTGTGCAACCTCCTCAAATCCCCATCCTGTGTGCAACCTCCTCAAATCCACCCCACTGTGTGCAACCTCCTCAAATCCCCCCACTGTGTGCAACCTCCTCAAATCTCCTCACAGTGAGCAACCTCCTCAAATCCCCACACTGTGTGCAACCACCCCAAATCCCCCTACTGTAAGCAACCTCCCCAAATCCCTCCACTCTGTTCAACCTCCCCAAATCCCCCCCACTCTGTGCAACCTCCAACTTTCCCTCCCATTGTGTGCAACCCCCCCAAATCCCCCCACTGTGTGCAACCCCCCAAATCCCACCCACTGTGTGCAACCTCCTCAAATCCTCCCACTGTGTGCAGCCTCCCCAAATCCCACCCACTGTGTGCAACCTCAGGTCCCCCACTGTGTGCAACCCCCCCAATCCCCCTACTGTGTGTAACCTCCTCAAATCCGCTCACTGTGTGCAACCTCCTCAAATCCCCCTACTGCCTGCAACCTCCTCAAATCCCCCCACTGTGGGCAACCTCCCCAAATCCCCCCACTGTGTGCAAACTCCCCACATTCCCCCCAGTGTGTGCAACCTTTACAACTCTACTCACTGTGAGCAACCTCCCCAAATCGCCCCACTATGAGCAGCCTCCTCAAATCCCCCAACTGTGTGCCACTTCCCCAAATCCCCACATTCTGAGCAACCTCCCCAAATCCCCCCACTGTGATGTAACCTCCTCAAATTGCCCGCACTGTACAACCTCCTCAAATCTCCCCCGCTGTGTGCAACCTCCTCAAATCCCGACTCTGTGCAACCTCCCCAAATCCCCCCAGTGTGTGCAACCTCCCCAAATCCACCCAACTCTGAGCAACCTCGCCAAATCCCCCAACTCTGTGCAACCTCCCCCTATCCCTCCCACTGTGTGCAACCCCCCCAAATCCCCCTACTGTGTGCAACCTGCTCAAATCCCCAAACTGTGTGCAACCTCCCCAAATCACCCTCACTGTGTGCAACCTCCTCAAGTCCCCCACTGTGTGCAATCCGCCCAAGTCCCCCCACTGTGCAACCTGCTCAAATCCCCTCACTGTGTGCAACCTCCCCAAATCCCTCACACTGGGTGCAACCTCCTCAAATCCCCTACTCTGTGGAACCTCCTCAAATCCCCCCCACTGTGTGCCTCCTCAAATCCCCTCACTATGTGCAACTCCACCAAATCTCCCCCACTGTGAGCAAAACCACAAATCCCCCCAATGTGTGCAACTTCCTCAAATCCCCCCACTGTGTGCAACCTCCCCAAAACCCCCCACTGTTTGCAACACCCCCAAATTTCCCCCACTGTGAGCAAACCCCCAAAACCCCCACTGGGTACAACCTCCTCAAATCCCCCCACTGTGTGTAACCTCCCAAAATCCCCCCACTGTGTGCAAACCCCCCAAATCTCCCTATGACCAAAACCACAAATCCCCCCACTGTGTGCAACCTCCTCAAATCCCCCCAATGTGTGCAAGCCCCAAAATCCCACCCACTATGTGCAACCTCCCCCAAATCCCCCCGACTCTGTGCAAACTCCCCAAATCACCCCCACTCTGCAAACTCCCCAAATCTCACCCCACTGTGGGCAACCACACTAAATCCCGCCACTGTGTGCAACCTCACCAAATTTCCCCGTGTGCAACCTACCCAAATGCCCCCCACTCTGTGCAACCTCCCAAAATCCCCCACAATGTGTGCAAACTCCTCAAATCCCAATACTGTGTGCAACCTCCTCAAATCCCCCCACTGTGCGCAACCTCCTCATATCCCCCGACTGTTTACAACCTTCCCAAATCTCCCCACTGTGAGCAACCTCCCCAAATCCCCCACTGTGTGCAACCTCCCCAAATCCGCCCACTGTGTGCAACCTCCCCAAATCCCCCCACTGTGCGCAACCTCCCCAAATCCTCCCACTGTGCGCAACCTCCCCAAATCCCCCCGACTCTGTGCAACCTCCCCCATCCCTCCATGTGCAAACCTCCAAATCCCCCCACTGTGTGCAACCTCCTCAAATCCCCCCACTGTGTGCAACCTCCTCAAATCCCCCCGATGTGTGCAACACCCCCAAGTCCCCCCCACTGTGAGCAACCACCCCAGTCCCCCCACAGTGTGCAAACACCCCACATCTCCCCCACTGTGAGCAAAACCACAAATCCCCCCAGTGTGTGCAACCTCAATTCCCCCCACTGTGTGCAACCCCCCAAATGCCCCCCAATGTGAGCAACCCCCCCAAATCAACATGCTGTGTGAAACCTCAAATCCCCCAACTGTGTGCAACCTCCCCAAATCCCCTCCACTGTGTGCAACCTCAAGTCCGCCACTGTGTGCAACCCCCGCAAATCCTCCCAGTGTTCGCAACCTCCTCAAATCCTCTCACTGTGTGCAACCTTCTCAAATCCCACGCCACTGTGAGCAACCTCCACAAATCCCCCCAACTCTGTGCAACCTCCCCAAATCTCCCCAGTGTGTGCAACTTCCCTAAATCCCCCAAACTGTGTTCATCCTCCCCAAATCCCCCCCCCACTGTATGCAACCTCCCCAAATCCCACCTAATGTGTGCAACATCCTCAAATCCCCACCACTCTGTGCAACCTCCCCAAATCCCCCCCAATCTATGCAACCTCCCCAAATCCCCCCCAATCTATGCAACCTCCCCAAATCCTCCCCACTCTGTGCAACCTCCCCAAATCCCCTGCTTTGTGGGCAATGTCACAAAATCCCCCGGTGTGTGCAACCTCCCCAAATCCCCTCCACTCTGTGCAACCTCCACAAATCCCCCACACTCTGTGCAACCTACTCAAATCCCCACACTGTGTGCAACCTCCTCAAATCCCCCCCACTGTGTGCAACCTCCTCAAATCCCCCCACTGTGAGCAACCTCCTCAAATCCCCTCACTGTGTGCCACCTCCCCAAATCCCCCCACTTTCTGCAACCTCCGCAAATACCCCCACTGTGTGCAACCTCCTCAAATCCCCCCACTCTGTGCAACCTCCCCTATCCCTCCCACTGTGTGCAACCGCCCCAAATCCCCCAACTATATGCAACCTACTCAAATCCCCCCACTGTGTGCAACCTCCCCAAAACCCCCACTGTGAGCAACCTCCCCAAATCCCCTCACTGTGTAACCTCCCCAAATCCCCTCACTGTGTAACCTCCCAAAATACCCCCCGTGAGCAACCTCCCCAAATCCCCGCACTGTGTGCAACCACCCCAAATCCCCCCCACTGTGTGCAACCTCCTCAAATCCTCCGCCACTGTGAGCAACCTCCTCAAATACCCCACTGTGTGCAACCTCCTCAAATCCCCCCATCTGTGTGCGACCTCCCCAAATCCTCCCAGTGTGTGCAACTTCCCTAAATCCCTCCAACTGTGTTCAGCTTCCCCAAATACCAACTGTGTGCAACCTCCTCACATCCCCACCACTCTGTGCAACCTCTCCAAGTCACCCCTACTCTCTGCAGACTCCCCAAATCCCCCCCCAATCTGTGCAACCTCCCCAAATCCCACCCAATTGTGGGCAACCACACAAAATCCCGCCACTGTGTGCAACCTCACCAAATTTCTCCCACTCTGGGCAACCTCCCCAAATCCCCCCCACTCTGTGCAACCTCCCAAAATCCCACACACTGTATGCAACCTCCTCAAATCCCCATACTGTGTGCAACCTCCTCAAATCCCCCCCACTGTGTTCAACCTCCTCAAATCCCCCCACTGCGTGCAACCTCCTCAAATCCCCCCAATGTGAGCAACCTCCTCAAATCCCCCCACTGCGTGCAACCTCCTCAAATACCCCACTGCGTGCAACCTCCTCAAATCCCCCCAATGTGAGGAACCTCCTCAAATCCTCCCACTATGTGCAACCTCCTCAAATCTCCCCACTGTGTGCAACCCCCCCAGATCTCCCCCACTGTGAGCAAAAGCACAAATCCCCCACTGTGTGCAACATTCCTCAAATCCCCGCACTGTGTGCAACCCAACCAAATCTCACCCACTGTGAGCAAACCCCCACATCCCCCCACTGTGTGCAACCTCCTCCAATCCCCCCACTGTGTGAAACCTCCCCAAATCCCCCCAATGTAGGCAACCCCCCAAATCTCCCCCACAGTGAGCAAAAACACAAATTCCCCCACTGTGTGCAACCTCCACAAATCCTCCCAAGTCTGCAACCCCCCAAGTCCCCCCATTGTGAGCAACCACCCCAAATCCCGCCACTGTGTGCAACCTCCTCAAATCACCCGGTGTGCAACCTGCTCAAATCCCCCCACTGTGTGCAACCTCCTCAAATCTCTCAACTGTGTGCAACCTCCTCAAATCCCCCCTTCTGTGCAATTTCCCCAAATTCCAACTGTGTACAACCTCCTCAAATCCCTCCCACTCTTTGCAAACTCCCCAAATCGCCCCACTCTGTGCAACCGCCCCAAATCTACCCCAGTCTGTGAAACCTCCCCAAATCCCCCCCACTGTGTGCAACCTCACCACATCCACCACTGTGTGCAACCTCCCCAAATCCCCCCTACCTTGTGCAACCTCCCCAAATCCCACCCACTCTGTGCAACCTCCCCAAATCCCCCACACTGTGTGCAGCCTCCTCAAATCCCCCCACTGTGTGCAACCTCCTCCAATCCCCCCACTGTGAGCAACCTCCCCAAATCCTCCTACTGTGTGCAACCTCCTCAAATCCCCCACTGTGTGCAACCTCCCCAAATCCTCTCCACTGTGTGCAACCTCCTCACGTCCCCCACTGTGTGCAACCCCCACAAATCCTCCCAGTGTGCGCATCCTCCTAAAATCCCCCCACTGTGAGTAACCTCCTAAAATCCCCCCACTGTGAGTAACCTCCTCAAATCCCAACTCTGTGCAACCTCCCCAAATCTCCCCAGTGTGTGCAACTTCCCTAAATCCCCCCAACTGTGTTTAACCTCTCCAAATCCCCCCACTGTGTGCAACCTCCCCGAATCCCCCCACTGTGTGCAACCTCCCTGAATCCCCCCACTGTGTGCAGCCTCTCCAAATCCCCCCCACTCTGTGCAACCTCCTCAAATCCCCCCCACTGTGTGCAACCGTGCTAAATCCCCCCACTCTGTGCAACCTCCTCAAATCCCCCCACTGTGTGCAACCTCCCCAAATCCCCCCACTGTGTGCAACGTCCCCAAATTCCCCCACTGTGTGCAACCTCCCCAAATCCCCCCACTATGTGCAACGTCCCCAAATCCCCCCACTGTCTGCAACATCCCCAAATGCCCCCACTGTGAGCAACCTTCCCAAATCCCCCCACTGTGTGCAATCTCCCCATATCCCCCCACTGTGAGCAACCTCCCCAAATCCCACTTGTTGCAACCTCCCCAAATCCCCCCACTGTGAGCAATCTCCCCAAATGCCCCACCGTGTGCAACCTCCTCAAATCCCCCACCACTCAGAGCAACCTTCTCAAATCCCCCCAATGTGAGCAACCTCCTCAAATCCCCGTACTGTGTGCAACCTCCTATCACCCCCACTGTGTGCAACCTCCTCAAATCCCCCCACTGCGTGCAACCTCCTCAAATCCCCCCACTGTGAGCAATCTCCTCAAATCCCCCCACTGTGTGCAACCTCCTCTAATCCCCCCACTGTGAGCAACCTCCCCAAATCCCTCCCATTGTGTGCAGCCTCCCCAAATCCCCCCGACGCTGTGCAACCTCCCAAAATTGCCCCCACTGTGTGCAACCTCCTCAAATCCCTCCCACTCTGTGCAAACTCCCCAAACCCCCCCCTTGCAGCCTCCCCATATCCCCCCAACTCTGTGCAACCTCCCGAAAACACCCCTCACTGTGTGCAACCTCGCCCAATCACGACACTGTGTGCAACCTCCCCAAATCACCCCCACTCTCTGCAACCTCCCCAAGTCTCCCACACTCTGTGCAACCTCCTCAAATCCCCCCACTGTTTGCAACCTCCCAAAATCTCCCTATGCGCAACCTCGCAAAATCTCCCCCACTATGTGCAACCTCCTCAAATCCCCCCACTGTGTCCAACCTCCCCAAATCCCTCCCACTGTGTGCAACCTCCTCTAGTCCCCCACTGTGTGCACCCCCCAAAAATCCCCCCACTGTGTGCAACCTCCTCAAATCCCCCGCCAGTGTGAGCAACCTCCTAAAATCCCCACACTGTGAGAAACCTCCTCAAATCCCCCCAAGTGTGTGCAACGTCCCCAAATATCCCCAGTGTGTGCAACTTCCCTAAATCCCCTAAACTGTATTCAACCTCTCCAAATCCCCACCACTGTGTGCAACCTCCCGAAATCCCATCAACTGTGTGCAACATCCTCAAATCCCCCTCACTCTGTGCAACCTCCCCAAATCTCCCCCACTCTGTGCAACCCCCCCAAATCCCCCCCATTGTGGGCAACGTCACAAAATCCCACGATGTGTGCAACCTCCCCAAATCCCCCACACTCTGTGCAACCTCCCCAACTCCCCGACTCTCTGCAACCTCCCCAAATCCCCCACACTGTGTGCAACCTTCTCAAATCCCCCTACTGTGTGCAACCTCCTCAAATCCCCCCCACTGTGTGCAACCTCCTCAAATCCCCCCCACTGTGTGCAACCTCCTCAAATCCCCCCATGGGGGGCAACGTCCTCAAATCCCCCGACTGTGTGCAACCTCCTGAAATCCCTTCACTGCGTGCAACCTCCCCAAATACCCCCACTGTGTGCAACCTCCGCAAATCCCCCCACTGTGTGCAACCTCCCCAAATCCCCCCCACTCTGTGCGACCTCCCCAAATCCCCCCACTATGTGCGACCTCCTCAAATCCCCCCAGTATGTGCAACCTCCTCAAATCCCTCCACTCTGTGCAACCTCACCCTATCTTTCCCACTGTGTGCAACCCCCCCAAATACCCCCACTATGTGCAACCTCCTCAAATCCCCCCACTGTGTGCAACCTCCCCAAATCCCCCCACTGTGTGCAACCTCCCCAAAACCCCCCACTGTGTGCAACCTCCCCAAATCCCCCCCACTGTGAGCAACCTCCCCAAATCCCCACACTGTCTGCAACCACCCCAAATCGCCCCCACTGTGTGCAACCGCCTCATATTCCCCCCACTGTGTGGACCCTTCTCAAATCCCCCCTAATGTCAGCAACTTCCCTAAATCCCCCAACTGTGTTCAACCTCCCCAAATCCCTCCCACTGTGTGCAGCCTCCCCAAATCCTCCCGACTCTGTGCAACCTCCCAAAATTGCCCCCACTGTGTTCAACCTCCCCAAATCCCTCCCACTGTGAGCAACCTCCCCAAATCCCTCCCACTGTGTGCAGCCTCCCCAAATCCTCCCGACTCTGTGCAACCTCCCAAAATTGCCCCCACTGTGTGCAACCTCCTCAAATCCCTCCCACTCTGTGCAAACTCCCCAAACCCCCACACTCTGTGCAACCGCCCCATATCCCCCCCACTCTGTGCAACCTCCCCAAAACACCCCTCAATGTGTGCAACCTCGCCCAATCACGACACTGTGTGCAATCTCCCCAAATCCCGCCCACTCTTTGCAACCTCGCCAAATCCCCCCCACTCTCTGCAACCTCCCCAAATCACCCCCACTCTCTGTAACCTCCCCAAATCACCCCCACTCTCTGCAACCTCCCCAAATCACCCCCACTCTCTGCAACCTCCCCAAATCACCCCCACTCTCTGCAACCTCCCCAAATCCCTCACACTGTGTGCAACCTCCTCAAATCACCCTACTGTGTGCAACCTCCTCAAATCACCCCCACTGTGTGCAACCTCCTCAAATCCCCCCACTGCGAGCAACCTCCTCAAATCTCCCCACTGTGTGCAACCTCCCAAAATCTCCCCTATTGTGTGCAACGTCCTCAAATCCCCTCACTGTGTGCAACCTCCCCAAATACCCCCCACTGTGTGCACCTTCCTCAAGTCCCCCACTGTGTGCAACCCCCACAAATCCCCCCACTGTGCGCAACCTCCTCTAATCCCCTCACTGTGTGCAACCTACACAAATGCCCCCCACAGTGCGCAACCTCCTCAAATCCCCCACCACTGTGAGCAACCTCCTCAAATCCCCCCACTGCCTGCAACCTCCTCAAATCCCCCCACTGTGTGCAACCTCCTCAAGTCCCCCACTGTGTGCAACCCCCACAAAACTCCCACTGTGCGCAACCTCCTCTAATCCCCTGTGTGCAACCTCCACAAATACCCCCCACAGTGCGCAACCTCCTCAAATCCCCCACCACTGTGAGCAACCTCCCCAAATCCCCCCACTGTGAGTAACCTCCTGCAATTGCCCCGCACTGTGCAACCTCCTCAAATCCCCCCCACAGTGCAAAACCTCCTCAAAACCCCCGCCACTCTGAGCAACCTCCTCAAATACCCCACTGTCAGCAACCTCCTCAAATCCCCCCAACTGTGTGCGACCTCCCCAAATCCCCCCCACAGTGTGCAATCTCCACAAATCCCCCCCCACTCTGTACAACCTCCCCAAACCCCCCCAACTGTGTACAACTTCCTCACAACCACCCACTCTGTGCAACCTCCCCAAATCCCCCACTGTGAGCAACCTTCCCAAATCCCCCCACTGTGTGCAATCTCCCCATATCCCCCCACTGTGAGCAACCTCCCCAAATCCCCCACACTATGTGCAACCTCCTCAAATCCCCCCACTCTGCACAATCTCCCCAAATCCCCCCCACTCTGCGCAACCTCCTCAAATACCCCCAGTTTGCAACCTCCCAAAATCTCCCTATGTGCAACCTCGCAAAATCTCCCCCACTATGTGCAACCTCCTCAAATCCCCCCACTGTGTCCAGCCTCCCCAAATCCCTCCCACTGTGTGCAACCTCCTCTAGTCCCCCACTGTGTGCACCCCCCAAAAATCCCCCCACTGTGTGCAACCTCCTCAAATCCCCCTACTGCGAGCAACCTCCTCAAATCTCTCCACTGTGTGCAACCTCCCCAAATCCCCCACTGTGTGCAACGTCCCCAAATCCCCCCACTGTGAGCAACCTTCCCAAATCCCCCCACTGTGTGCAATCTCCCCATATCCCCCCATATCCCCCCACTGTGAGCAACCTCCCCAAATCCCCCACACTATGTGCAACCTCCTCAAATCCCCCCACTCTGCACAATCTCCCCAAATCCCCCCCACTCTGCGCAACCTCCTCAAATCCCCCCACTGTGTGCAACCTTCCCAAATCCCCCCACTGTGTGCAACCTCCTCAAATCCCCACACTGTTTGCAACCTCCTCAAATCCCCCCAAATGTGTGCAACCTCCCGAAATCGCCCCCACTGTGTGCAACCTCCCCAAATCCCCCCAACTGTTTGGAACCTCCTCAAATCCCCCCACTGTGTGCAACCTCCCGAAATCCCCCCAACTTTGTGCAACCTCCCCAAATGCCCACTGTGTGCAACGTCCCGAAATCCCCCCCACTCTGTGCAACCTCCCCAAATCCCCGCCACTCTGTGAAACCTCCCCCATCCCTTCCAGTTTGTGCACCCCCCCAAATCCCCCCACTATGTGACACCTCCTCAAATCCCCCCACTGTGAGCAACCTCCTGAAATCCCTCTCACTGCGTGCAACTTCCTCAAATTCCTCCCCCACTCTGAGTAGCCTCCTCAAATCCCCCCCAGTGTGTGCAACGTCCCCAAATCGCCCCACTGTGTGCATTCTCCTCAAATGCCCCTAGCTTTGTGAAACCTCCCCAAATCCCCCCCACTCTGTGTGCAACCTCCCCAGATCTCCTTTCTGTGCAACCTCCATAAATCCAACCAAATGTATGCAACCTCCTCAAATCCCCACCACTCTGTGCAACCTCCCCAAATCCCCATCACTCTGTGTAATCTCCCCAAATCCCCCCCAATCTGTGCAACCTCCCCAAATCCCACCACTGTGTTCAACCTCCCCGAATACCCACCACTCTGTGCAACCTCCCCAAAACGCCCCCACTCTGTGCAACCTCCCCAAATCCCCCCAACTGTTTGCAACCTCCCAAATCCCCCCCAATGCGAGCAACCTCCCAAATCCCCCGTGTGCAACCCCCCAATCTCCCCCACTGTGTGCAACCTCCTCAAATCCCCCATCACTCAGAGCAACCTTCTCAAATCCCCCCAATATGAGCAACCTCCTCACATCCCCCTCGCTGTGCGCAACCTCATCAAATTTTCCCACTGTGTGCAACTTCCCTAAGTCGTCCAACTGTGTTCAACCTCCCCAAATCCCTCCAACTGTGTGCAACCTCCCCAAATCCGCCCCCACCCTGTGCAGCCTCACAAAATTACCCCCAGTGCAATCTCAAATCCCTCCCACTCTGTGCAAACTCCCCAAACCCCCCACGCAGTGTGCAACTTCCCCAAATCCCTCCCACTCTGTGCAACCTCCCCAAATCCCTACCACTCTGTGCAACTTCCCCAAATCCGCCCACACTGTGCAACCGCACCAAATCGCGCCACTGTGTGCAACCTCCACAAATCCCGCCCACTCTGTGCAATGTCCCCAAATACCCCCCCCACTCTGTGCAACTTCCAAAAATCCCCCACACAGTGTGCAACCTCCTCAATTCCCTCTAGTGTGTGCAACCTCCTCAAATCTCCCCCACTGTGTGCAACCTCCTCAAATATCCCCACTGTGGGTAACCTCCCCAAATCCCCCCCACTGTGTGCAACCTCAAGTCCCCCACTGTGTGTAACCCCCCCAAATCCCACCACTGTGCACAACCTCCTCTAATCTGTTCACTGTGTGCAACCTCCCCAAATCCCTCCCCAATGTGTGCAGTCTCCTCAAATCCTCCGCCACTGTGAGCAACCTCCTCAAATCCCCCCAGTGTGTGCAATTTCCCTAAATCGCCGCAAGTGTGTACAACCTCCCCAAATCCCCCCCACTGTGTGCAACCTCCCCAAATCTCCCCCACTCTGTGCACCTTCCCCAAATCTACCTAACTCTGTGTAACCTCCTCACATCCCCCCACTCTGTGCAACCTCCCCAAATCCCCCCCCCCCCCATTGTGGGCAACCACACCAAATCCCGCCACTTGTGCAACCTCATCAATTTCCCCCCATTCTGTGCAACCTCCCCAAATCCACCCCACTCTGTGCAACCTCCCAAAATCCCCCATACTGTATGCAACCTCCTCAAATCCCTGTACTGTGTGCAACCTCCTCAAATCCCCCCCACTGTATGCAACCTACTCAAATCCCCCCACTGTGTGCAACCTCCTCAAATCTCCCCACTGTGAGCAACCTCCCCAAATCCCCCTACTGTGTGCAACCTCCCCAAATCCCCCCCACTCTGTGCAACCTCCCCAAATCAGCCCCACTCCGTGCAACCTCCGCCTATCCCTCCCACTGGGTGCAACCTCCCCAAATCCCCGTGTGCCACTTCCCCAAATCACCACATTGTGAGCAACCTCCCCAAATCCCCCCACTGCGAAGACCTCCTCAAATTGCCCCGCAGTGTACAACCTCCTCAAATCCTCCCTCGCTGTGTGCAACCTCCTCAAATCCCCCCACTCTGTGCAACCTCCCCACATGCCCCCAGTGTGTGCAACCTCCCGAAATCCACCCAGTGTGTGCAACCTCCCCAAATCCCCCCACTCTGTGCAACCTCCCGAAATCCCCCCAACTCTGTGCAACCTCCGCCATCCCTCCCACTGTGTGCAACCTGCTCAAATCCCCAAACTGTGTGCAACCTCCCCGAATCCCCCCAACTTTGTGCAACCTCAAGTCCCCGAATGTGTGCAACCCCCCCAAATCCCGTGTGCAACCTCCCCAAATCCCCCACACTATGTGCAACCTCCTCAAATCCCCCCACTCTGCACAATCTCCCCAAATCCCCCCCACTCTGCGCAACCTCCTCAAATCCCCCCACTGTGTGCAACCTCCTCAAATCCCCCCACTGTGTGCAACCTTCCCAAATCCCCCCACTGTGTGCAACCTTCCCAAATCCCCCCATTATGTGCAACCTCCCCAAATCCCCCAATCTATGCAACCTCCCCGTTCCCCCCAATGTGTTCAAGCCCCCCAAATCCCCCCACTGTGTGCAACCTCCCGAAATCGCCCCCACTGTGTGCAACCTCCCCAAATCCCCCCAACTGTTTGGAACCTCCTCAAATCCCCCCACTGTGTGCAACCTCCCGAAATCCCCCCAACTTTGTGCAACCTCCCCAAATGCCCACTGTGTGCAACGTCCCGAAATCCCCCCCACTCTGTGCAACCTCCCCAAATCCCCGCCACTCTGTGAAACCTCCCCCATCCCTTCCAGTTTGTGCACCCCCCCAAATCCCCCCACTATGTGACACCTCCTCAAATCCCCCCACTGTGAGCAACCTCCTGAAATCCCTCTCACTGCGTGCAACTTCCTCAAATTCCTCCCCCACTCTGAGTAGCCTCCTCAAATCCCCCCCAGTGTGTGCAACGTCCCCAAATCGCCCCACTGTGTGCATTCTCCTCAAATGCCCCTAGCTTTGTGAAACCTCCCCAAATCCCCCCCCCCACTGTGTGCAACCTCCCCAGATCTCCTTTCTGTGCAACCTCCATAAATCCAACCAAATGTATGCAACCTCCTCAAATCCCCACCACTCTGTGCAACCTCCCCAAATCCCCATCACTCTGTGTAATCTCCCCAAATCCCCCGCAATCTGTGCAACCTCCCCAAATCCCCCCCACTGTGTGCAACCTCCCCAAATCCCGCCACTGTGTTCAACCTCCCCGAATACCCACCACTCTGTGCAACCTCCCCAAATCCCAACTGTTTGCAACCTCCCAAATCCCCCCCAATGTGAGCAACCTCTCAAATCCCCCTGTGTGCAACCCCCCAATCTCCCCCACTGTGTGCAACCTCAAATCCCCCCACTGTGTGCAACGTCCTCAAATACCCCCACTGTGTGCAACCTCCCCAAATCCCTGCCACTGTGTGCAACCTCACCAAATCCGTCCACTGTGTGCAACCTCCCTAGATCCCCCCTATGTGCAACCTCCGCAAATACCCCCACTCTGTGCAAGTGCCCCCTATTTCCCCAACTGTGTAGCAACCTCCCCAAATCCCCCCACTGTGTGCCACCTCCCCAAATCCCCCAACTGTTTCGAACCACCTCAAATCCCCCCACTGTGTGCAACCTCCCCAAATCCCCCCCACCCTCTGCAACGTCCCCAAACCTACTCTGTCCAACCTCCCCAAATCCTCCACTCTGTTCGACCTCCGCCTATCGCCCTACTGTGTGCAACTCCCTCAAATCCCCCCACTGTGAGCAACCTCCCCAAACCCTCCCATTGTGTGCAAACTCCCAAATCTCCCCACTGTGTGCAACCTCCTCAAATTCTTCCACTCTGTGCAGCCTCCCCAAATCCCCCCAACTCTGTGCAACCTCCGCCTATCCCCCCCAGTGTGCAACCTCCTGAAATCCCCCAACTGTGTTCAACACCCCCAAATCCCCCCATTGTGTGCAAACTCCTCAAATCACCCCGCTGTGTGCAACATCCCCAGATCCCCCCCAATGTGTGCAACCTCCGCAAATCCCCCTACTCTGTGGAACCTCCTCAAATCCCAACTGTGAGCGACCTCCCCAAATCCCCCAACTGTCTGCAAACTCCCCACATCTCCCTCACTGAGTACAACCTCCCCAAATCCCCCCATTGTGAGCAATGTCCCCAAATCCCCCCACTGTGAGCAACCTCCTCAAATCCCCCCACTGTGTGCAATCTCAAATCCCCCCCACTGTGTGCAACCTCCTCAAATCCCCACCACTCTGTGCAACCTGCCCAATTTCCCCCACTCTGCAACCTCCCGAAATCCCCCGTAGTGTGTGCAACCTTCTCAAATCCCCCCACTCTGTGCAACCCCCCCAAATCCCTCTACTGTGTGCCACCTCAAGTCCCCCCACTGTGTGCAACCTCCTCAAATCCCCCACACTGTGTGCAGCCTCCTCAAATCCTCCCCACTGTGTGCAACCTCCTCAAATCCCCGCACTGTGTTCAACCTTCTCAAATACCCCATACTGTGTACAACCTCCTCAAATCCCCCCTGCAGGGAGTGGCTTCTCCCTGTGAATCTCTCCTCCCTTCTTTGCCCAGAAGCATGTCTCAATTAGTAAGAGTGCAGTTAATATTTCTCATCTTAAGGTGGTGCTCCGACCTGATACAAAGGAAAGCGGGTTGAATTCAGAGGCACGGGCATACCCTGTCCTTGTTTCTAAAGTGTTCATGAAGAAGATCGAATTCAAATGGTGAAATATCCATATATGCAATTGTATAGAAAAGTCAGGATTATTTGACAAGGATTGTTTTTGATGCTTTTATGCAATTCAGAACCTCAATGAATATAGAAAATAATTTAAAAAGACATAAGAGCTCTCTAGATTGAAATAAGCATGGTGCTTATAAAACAATGGTGAACAGTGAATGCCAATTATTTTAATTTAAATTTCTATTATGCAGCAAATTCATAAAATGGGGAAAGTCTTTTTTCAACATTTCCAAGACATGCTCTGTTAAGACATGGTTGCTTCAGGTGGCTTTTACTTGGGATATTGAGAGGTAAGGCAGAGTGGTGATGGTTCAGGCTGAGGAGGGCGAGGGCTGCCATAACAAAGAACCACACGTTTGGTGGCTTAAAGCAACAGACGTTGATGTTCTCACAGTTCTGGAGACCAGAAGAGCAAGTCACGGTGTTGGCAGGGCTTTGCTCCCCCCGAAGGTTGGAAGGACGAATGCGCCTTGCACATCCAGCCTTTGGTGCCCTGCTGGTGTTCACTGGCATTGCTTGGCCTACAGACTCCTCACGCCAACCTCTCCCTCTGTCTTTACCCGGCCTTCTCCCCTGCGTGTCTGTATTCAAATGCCCCTATTCCTATAAGGGCACCAGTCCTGCTGGATTCCAGGTTCCACCCTACCCCAGTATAGACTCACCCTAACTAATTACATCTGAAAAAAACCTTACTTCCAGGCAAGGTAACATTCCCAAGTTCTGGGTGGATGTGACTTTGAAATGATTATCAAGTAGATCCAGTTCCGTTTACAGTAATGAGCAGACAGTGAATGAGAAATTAATGTGCTTTCACATCGCACGAACACCTGACCTTCACTGAATTTTAATAGAAGCTGGCATTGGTGCTAACTCCTTACAGACTTTATGTCAGTGTATTCTCACTGAAGGAAGTTGCTATTTTATCCCACTTTACGAATGAGAAAACTGAGATGCGGAGAGGTCACCAAGTCAAACTCAAGCGACACCCCAGCCCCCCTCGGTGATCAGGCTGAAGCGATGACTAAATGCCATTTGCTCCTAATGACACCGTCACAAGCACTGAAGCCACCAAGGACCGTTGGGCCTGTACAGAGGAGAGGCAGACTCAGGCCCTCCCCACTGACAGGAGGGCTGTCTTCCATGTACACCTAGGTCGGAGTCCGCAAGGGTGGGGCGGTGACGGTGCACTGGACTTTGCTGGCGGTGCTGGAATGGCTATGCGGAGGGCGCTGTGGTGCGGGGACTGCGCTCCCCAGGAGGACCTCGGGAGTTGTTTGTTTGTAGGTATTACAGTATTGTCTAACGTTGCCGCGTTGACACAGGGTCACGGGAAGCCACCTCCAGGGCCTGTGGTCCTCTTCAGGCAGGCGGGGCGGGGAATGCTCAGGACCGGTGATGATGGTGCCATGCAGAGTTCAGGGATGAATGACCACCAAGGCAAGGGAAGGAGTCCAGCAGCTCAGTATTTGGGGAATGGGGGCGGGGGCAGGTAAAAACGCAGAATCAAGGGAAACAAACAGCTGGAAAATATAGTAGCTGTTAAGTTCTGATGGAAAAGCTGTTTTGTACTTACAGTTAAATCCCACAGTATTTGTGATGTATTTCCGGGTAACTTGCTCTTCCCTCCTCAAAAGGTCCCAGCCTCACCAGAGCTTCCCTTCCTGCACCGGCCCCAGCTCTCCACGCCTCCCAGAGACCAGGGGGCCTCCACCCTTGCTCCTCTGGGACGGCGCTTCCTCCCCCTCATCTCCAGGTCGGGGCTGGGGTCTTCAGGCTCAGGTTGAAGATGCTGTTGGGCCCTTTGCCTGTACAGGGATGGCGCCCGACCCAGGAAAAGCCTAACGTTGTCTGTCATTTGGATGCGTCTCTTGGCAGTGACTGGGGGGAAATCCTCACTGCAGCCCGCGTCCCTTGCATGATTGTTGTAAGAAAGCCCCAGCTCAGCTGCGTGGAGACAGGGTCCTCTTGGCTGCAAATTCTAAAATCATTTTTCCTATGAAGAGAGCAGTGCTAATTTTTTCCAAAATATATCAGATTATGATCGACTTGACTGAAGTGTGAAATGAAAGTGGGTTGGAGTGTTCCTGCCAAAGACAAGCACGGCTGCCTTGCCGTCGCTCGTGCCGTGCTCTCTACCCTCCACAGTCACGGTGCCGGACCCTCTCCCGATAACTGGACACGTGTCTCCCACAGGACACGCACTGGCACTAAATCCACACTGCCCATCTCGGAGACAGGCGGAGGAACTCCCGAGCTGAGATGCGGAAAGCACCAGGCCGTAGGGACCTCACCGCAGCGGGCCGCAGCTCAGGACTCGGAGCAGGTGGGCCACACCATGCCGCATGTTTCCAGCTGCCACCGCAGTGGTTGGACAGGATCTGGGTGTCGGAGCAGCTCTGCTGGGGCTCCCTGCATATTTCTGTTTACTCCGTGTTTCCTAGTCCGTTCTGCACCTTCCTCCGGGAGGTTTTATTTACAAGCTAATGACAGTGAGCCAGAATGTGAGCCTGCTTAGTGAGAGGAATGAAGATGCCTTCCATTTGTACAAACCGGTTCCAAAACTAAGGGCTCACTTTCAGGCGTTTGCTTCCACTTAATCTGAGGATCGGCTGGAAGCACAGGAGAGGAAGGAGAAGCTGAAGCAAAACCCTGACTTTTAAATTCTGATTTTTAAGTGGAATAGTTATAATCAGTGTGGAAAAATGTGTATGTTTATGTTTTACCCCCTTACCTTGTATGCAGAACCCCAAGGGAGGCCATATCAAAAACTCACTTGTGTAAGTCTGACTTTTGAACTGAGAGAAGCAGAGAGCAGAACAGTGGCCTCCAGAGGGGAGTGGGGAGGTGCTGGTCA